>NC_000009.12:32888787-33040303 GCF_000001405.40 Homo sapiens
TAACTGTGGTTATTCCTAGGATTGTGGATAATCGTGGATGGCTTTTCTTTGCAGGTTTTGTATTTTCCTGATTTTTACAATGAGCATGTATCTTTGACTTCCATGTATAAAGATGAAATGTTTTATTTTAAAAAAGAAAGAAAAGGTTTGAGATCAAGGAACAGCAAGCAGAGACAAATTCCCCTGAGAAGAGAAAACCAAGAGAGGAAAGAACTCCAAACTCCACCAAGAAGCTGTGGATGAAGCTGGTAGAGAAAATGTTAAGATCCACCTAAGAGGCTGAGCCTAAACAGAAGCCGGGGTCGGGCCTAAGCAGCGCTCTGGAAGTGAAACAAAGCAGGAGCCATAAAAGTGGTAGGACTCATTAGAGCAGCTCTGTAGCTGTAATTTAACCTGCCTGTGTGTATTGGTATCATCCAAATTGCTTCACACTTTAATAAAATAGACCTTGGACCTATATTACCAACTGAATGTGTGAACTCAAGACCCACTCCAGAAGGGCATATGAGGAGTGGAAGAGAAAGACAACCACCCCAAAAGGTGCAATCTAGACAGGACAGCCCCTGATGCCAGTGGAAAGAGGCCATGACAAGCAAGTCTCAGGAGTACACTGGTAGGGACCCAGAGCAACAGCTTCCAACCCAGACAGACACCCAGACGCAATAGCATCCCGAAGGCAGACCCAGGTCTGGAGTGGAGGAGACTCTGCAGACCACCTCCCCCGCCCTGCCACCCCAGTGTGAGAATTGCAATTCAATCTTTCTTTCCCAGTGACTGTAATACAATCCAGGATACAACAACCTAAAAGTGGACCTTTAAGGGATGTATATGATGTACATGATGAAAGAAAAGCAAGTCATGTATGTTAATTCCAAGCATTTCTCCTCCTCCCATGCTTAACAGAATTTTGTTTGGACCCTTCTCACTCAACTTCCATCCATGGACCATGCTGCTTTGTGAAATAAGCCCTTTGGGGCCTGGTAATGCAGAGGAAGGAAATTGGGGAGTAGGTAAGAAGCATAGGGTCTAGAGCTTGGGAGGGGGGTATGGAGGGTTTTGCTGGAGGAAGGCTGGGTAAGGGAGATGGAGCAGCTTCAGTGTGAAGGAAATAGATGAGAAAGAAAAGGATATGTGGAAGGTATATTGCTGTGGTCTCTTTATCTCCCCTTGCAGAGTTCTAGAAAGGCAGCTAGATGGCTGAGATATTTGGAAATTAGTTTTGAAAACTGGACTGTATTACTTTAACCACAGTGCTCTGAGACCGTCCCACAAGGAACAGCCTTTTTAAGGATTGAACGTTGATGAGGCACATCTCATTCCTGTAGGGACCTTGGGGTTCAGGGGTGAAGTTAACTAGAGTCCAATAAAACCACAGCAAACAGCTTTACTTCCTAAGGTTCTTGTGTGTACTGGCTAAAATAAGGGTCCTTAGCCCTTACTGTTTCCCCCTGGGATTCTTTTGCTAACAGAATTGTCCCTGAAGCTCCTACCTCTGAAAGCTGCTCAAATTTCTCTGACAGTACAGAAAGTATAAAAGTGCATAGTGTTGAAAGTGACGGTAGGAAAATTATAATGTCTTCCCTAAGCCTGAGCTGTGCAGAAATGTCTACTCTGGGTATATTTGAAAGAATGAATAACCAAATCTGAAATATTCTTGTGTCTAGAGCATGGTGCTTGACAGTCTTATACATTGGTACTCTCTAATGTAAGCCCTTTAATAAAATCAAGTGTATTTAGCTGTATCAGTTAGGAATAATGTGCTATTCTTTGTACACTAAGATGGTGCTACTAATCTTATATGCGTTTAGCCATATATAAAAGGTGCACCCTGGTACCTTCTGGAGGTCCTAGGAGCTCAATAGTAAACCCTGAGTCTTGGTGAACAGTCAAGAGCTAAATGGTAGCAAATTACTTCCTTGATGTGGTACAGGAATATTCACTGCATAGCACAGTTGAGGAAAAAGATAGCAGGAATGTGGTGTGTGCTACCATCACACCTCCAGTGACCCTGACAGCCATCAGGAATCCATTGATACAGTCTTTCCTGCTGAACCAGGTATAGTCCCAGAATCCTTATTGCAGCTCCCCAGGCAGTCAGAGCTGGCACATGAGAGGAAATCTATTAGCCATTCCTACTCTGTGAGATGATTAAGGACAAAATGTTAATTTGGGGATGAGCAGGGATTTTAGTGTTGATAACGCAGAGACGAACGGATAGCAGAGTTGGCCTTCTGCAAAGGTCACAGACAGGGCATGTACAAGTGGCAGGTGGCAGAGAAGGTCCCCCTGCACATAATCATCCCTTGGAATCCACAGACCTCTCCCATTTTACCTCTTGGTGTTAGGCACTGAGTGTTGCTCTTCAAACAAAGGAAAGAGTACCAGTTCAGGAAAGAGTAACAGTTTGAGCTATTGCCTTTCATAAACACCTTAGTTCAAATTAAATCTTCACATCAACAAGCCAGATACTTGGAAAGACCCTGAGGGATTAGGGTTCAAACTGAATCTGGTTTGAAGAAGCAAATGAGCATGGATTAGTCAAAGAAGGTGCCAAGGGCTGGGTGCAGAAGACCGCTTCCCACCCACAGCTCTCTGGAGGGTCAGCCTTGGAACAAGGACGTTCTCCTTTGTAAACTGAGCATCAAATACTCAGGTGGCAATCAAAGTTCCACAGTAAATAGCTGATGAAAAACATCTGATGAGGACTTTACTTTTAGTAAATGAAATTAAAATTTAAGACAATAAGTTTGTTTTATCTTACTTTTTAATTAGGTTATAACTGGTGCAACCATGTACTAAGTCTTTGAAGAACTCAAATATTTATGCTAGGATGGCATAAATAGCACCAACAAAAAGGTCATAATAGTAGCATAAAATATCTTTCATTTCACACTCGATTTCTGTAGTACAATCTTAAAGAAGGTCACTACTCCAAAAATAGTCAAAGGATTACTAATTTACCAATATTAACATCTTTTGGTATTCAAATCATTTGCTGAAGACTATAATGTCATAATCCTTACTGGCTTTCTCTTCTCTAGTTGTTAATTTATCTGACTTACCCAAGCTTCATGTATGTATAATTTGAGCAATACTCCAACATCATTTTCTCCAACTTCATGAAATCCTGAAATGTTTGCAAGATAATTTCACTTCAGAACCTATTTATATTGATTTTGCATTTATACTATCAGATGTTACAATATCCATCAGTAAAACTGACTGGAAAAAATGTGTTGATAGGTGAAGAGATGGAGGTGCTAGCATTAAGCAGGAGGATATTTGAGAGAAGACAAATTGTACAAGTTAGTGAATGATTATTCTCATGTGATGGTAAATTTTGCTTCCCTATGAAACTACATAATCATTGTGAATGAGATGATAAACACTCAGATATTGAGGATGCCTGTATTATGCAACCCTCCTTCCTGGGCTACCGCTGACTGGATCAGAGAAGGACACCTGACCCAACTATATCAATCATTTTCTCTTTCCTAGAAATTTGAATATATATATACACACACATATATACATATATATGTGTATATATACACACACATATATACATATATATGTGTATATATACACACACATATATACATATATATGTGTATATATACACACACACATATATATATATATCTGTGTCTTGAGTCTTGATTGGGTGCAGTGGCTCATGAATGTAATCCCAGCACTTTGGGAGGCTGAGACAGGAGATCACTTGAATCACTTGAGGCCAGGACTTTGACACTAGCCTGCACAACGTAGCAAGACCTCATCTCTACAAATAATGTAAAAATTAACCAGGCGTGGTGCCACACACCTGTAGCCCTGGCTGCGCAGGAGCTGAGGCAGAAGAATACTTGAGCCCAGGAATTTGAGGCTGCATTGAGCTGAGATCATGCCACTATATTCCAGCCCAAGTGACAGTGAGGAATTTGAGGCTGCAGTGAGCTAAGATCATGCCACTATACTCCAGCTTGAGTGACTGAAAAACAAGAAAACTGTATCTCAATCCCAAATATATATAATATATATGATCTCTGAACTTTTTTGACTATACATCTCTATCAGTAAAAAAATTTAACTACATACTTTCAATGGATATATTTTTATTTACAAACTGTATTCATAATTACATTTATTGATAAATTATATGAATAAAATTTTTAAATCTTTTTTAAAAATGTAAAAGAGGAATGAAAGTATTTTTGTTGTTTTTTGTTTGTTTTTATTATTTTTTCTTTGAGTGAAGGTATTTTTAATATTTTTAGTTTATAACTAATAAAAATGTATTCTCTATAACAAAATTATAAATATTTTAATTTTTAATACTAATTTATTATTCATTGTTTTAAAATACTTCATTTAATTCTATGATGCAAAAGTTCACATTTGATGCTGTATAGGTTCAGTTTATTCCAAGAGTTGGTTTTAATGGCAGTACAACTGAAAACCTAATTCAGAGTGACAAACAGGTCCAAATGAAATAAAAGATACATCACTGGCCAAGTTTCTTATTTTTTAATCCCAACCACTATGCAAAGGCTTTTGTTGATATTAGGTTCACAAATAATTCTTACTTTCTCATGTCAATCAGTTCTCAAAAACTAATCAAACCCACTGACTTTCCTGGAGATGTTTACACAGTTAGAAAATTCTGTTTTTTAAACTACCAACATCATTTTTTACGGAATTAGAAAACAACCTGTTCTAAACTATATATGGAACCAAAAAAGAGCCTGAATAGCCAAAGCAAACCTAAGCAAAAAGGACGAAACTGGAGGCATCACATTACCTGACCTGCAACTATAATGCAAGGCTATGGTAACCAAAAGAGCATGGCACTGGAGCAAAAATAGACACATAGACCAATGAAGCAGGATAGAGAACCCAGAAATAATGCTGCACACCTACAACCATCTGATCTTTAACAAAGTCAACAATAACAATGAGGAAAGGACTCCCTATTCAATAAATGCTGCTGGGATAACTGGCTAGCCATATGCATAAGAATGAAACTAGACCCCTACCTTTCACCTTATACAAAAATCAACTCAAGATGGATTAAAGACTTAAATCTAATATCTATAACTATAAAAAACTATTGGGGTGATGGCTCACCCCTGTAATCTCAGCACTTGAGGGGCTAAAGCAGGAGGATCACTTGAACCCAAAAGTTCAAGACCAGCATGAGAAATGTAGGGAGACCCAGTCCCCACGGAAAAAAAAAAATTAATTAGCTAGGTGTAGAGGCATGCTCTGTGGTCCCAGCTACTCGGAAGGTTGAGGTGGGAGGATTGCTTGAGCCCAGGAGGTTGAGGTTGCAGTGAGCCAAGATTTTGCCACTGCACTCTAGACTGAGTGACAGAGTAAAACCCTATCTCAAAAAAATTAAACAATAAAACTAGAAAAATCCTAGAAGAAAATGTAGAAACATCATTCCGGACATCAACCTTGGCAAAGAATTTATGACTAAGTTTCCAAAAGCAAAAATTGACAAGTGGGACCTAATTAAACAAAAGAGCTTCTGCACAGCAAAAGAAACTATCAGCAGAGTAAAAAGATAACCTATAGAATGGGAGAAAATATTTGCAAACTATGCATCCAACAAAAATGCAATATTCAGAATCTATAAGAAACTTAATTCAACAAGAAAAAAATGAATAACCTCATTAAAAAGTGGGTGAAAGACATGAACATTTTTCAAAAGAAGACATACATGTGGCCAAAGAAGCATATGAAAAAATGCTCAACCTCACTAATCGTTAAAGAAATGCAAATCAAAACCACAATGAGATACCATCTCACACCAGTCAGAATGGCTATTATTAAAAAGTCAAAAAATAACAGATGTTGGCAAGGTGGCGGAGAAAAGGGAACACTTATACATTGTCAGGAATGTAAATTAGTTCAGACACTAAGGAAGCAGTTTGGAGAGTTCTCAAAGAATTTAAAACAGAACTACCATTCAACCCAGCAATCCCATTACTGGGTGTATACCCAAAGGAAAATAAATCGTTCTACCATAAAGACACATGCACTTGTATATTCATCACAGCACTATTCACAATAACAAAGACATGAAACCAATCTAGGTGCTCATCAACATTGAGTACACATGGACATAAAGATAGAAACAACACACACTGGAGACTACTAGAAGGGGGAGGGCAAGAGAGAGGTTAAGGGTCAAAAAACTACCTATTGGGTACTGTGCTCACTACCTGGATGACAGAATCATTCGTACACCAAATCTTAGCAACACACAATTTACTCAAGTAACAAACCTGCTTGTGTACTCTCTCAAACTAAAATAAAAGTTGAGAAATAAATACATACATACATACATACATACAGAGCAAATCACATAGATTGTGTTTAAAATTTTTTAAAAGAAAACTGTGGTTTTTGAAGTGCAGAACTATCAAGATATTTATGGATGAGACTCATTTTTCAACAATAAAATTGCATAGTAATAGAAACAATGCCAAACATCTATTTTCAAGATGTTCTTCCATAGGAAGAGTTCTTTTGAAAAGCAGATATAATACTTTCTCTCTCACTAACAAAACATCATCTTTTCCTTGAAGAAACAGAATAAACTTATTTTAAATAGCTGTTAGTATTACAGAAAAGGTCAGTGGATTTCGAATAAGTTTCTTCTTGAAAAAGAAAAGTATATAACTCATCTTTAAGAAAGGCCATCCTTTTTTTAACTTTTAGGTTCAGGGGTACATGCGCAGGTTTGTTACATAGGTAAATTGCATGTCATGGGGGTTCGGTGTACAGATTATTTTGTCACCAAGGTAATAAGCATAGTATCCAATAGGTAGTTTTTCAATCTTCACCTTCCTCCCACCCTCCACCCTCTAAGAGGCCCCAGTGTCTGTTGGTCCTTTCTTTGTGTTCATGTGTACTCAATGTTTAGCTCCCACTTATAAGTGGGAACATGCAGTATTTGGTTTTCTGTTACTACATTAGTTCGCTTAGGATAATGGTCTCTAGCTGCATCCATGTTGCTGCAAAGGACATGATCTCATTCTTTTTATGGCTACATAGTATTCCATGGTGTATATGTACCACATTTTCTTTATCTAGTCTACCATTGATGGGTATCTAGGTTGATTCCATGTCTTTGCTATTGTGAATAGTGCTACAATAAACATACACGTGCTTGTATCTTTATGGTAAAACAATTTATATTCCTTTGGGTATATACCCAGTAATGAGATTCCTGGGTTGAATCATAGCTCTGTTTTAAGTTCTTTGAGAAATCGCCAAACTGCTTTCCACAATGGCTGAACTAATTTACAGTCCCACCAACAGTGTATAGGCATTCCCTTTTCTCCACAACCTTGCCAACATTTATTATTTTTTGACTTTTTAATAATAGCCATTCTGACTATGTGAGATGGTATCTTACTGTGGTTTTGATTTGCATTTAGTAAGGTTGAGCATTTTTACATATGCTTGTTGGCTGCATGTATGTCTTCTTTTGAAAAATGTCTGTTCATGTCCTTTCCCCACTTTTTAATGAGATTATTTGTATTTTTCTTGTTGAATTGTTTAAGTTTCTTGTAGATTCTGAATATTAGCCCTTTGTTGAATGCATACTTTGCAAATATTTTCTACCACTCTGTAGGTTGTCTAGTCACTCTGTGGTTTCTTTTGCTGTGCAGAAGCTCTTTAGCTTATTAGGTCCTGTTTGTCAATCTTTGGTTTTGTTCCAATTGCTTTGGGTATCTTCATCATGAAATTTTTGCCAGGGCTATGTCCAGAGTGGTACTTCCTAGGTTGTCTTCCAGGGTTTTTATAGTTTTAGGTTTTGCATTTAAATCTTTAATTTATCTCAAGTTGGTTTTTGTATATGGTGTAAGAAAGAGTCCAGTTTCAATCTTCTGCATATGACTAGCCAGTTATCCCAGCAGCGTTTATTAAATGAGGAGTCCTTTTCCTGTTGCTTTTGTTGACTTTGTTGAAAATCAGATGGTTGTAGGTGTGTAACTTTATTGCTGGGCTGTCTATTCTGTTCTATTGGTCTATGTGTCTGTTTTTGTACCAGTACCATGCTGTTTTGGTTACTGTAACCTCGTAGTATAGTTTGAAGTCAGGAAATGTGATGCTCCCAGCTTTGTTCTTTGTGCTTAGAAATGTTTTTGCTATTTGGGCTCATTTTTCGTTCCACATAAATTTTAAGATACTTTTTTCTAATTCTGTAAAGGATGTCATTGGTAGTTTGATAGGAATAGCATTGAATCTGTACATTGCTTTCAGCAGTATGGCCATTTTAACAATGTTGATTCTTCCTGTCCATTCAATGAGCATGGAATGTTTTTCCATTTGTATAATCTTTGATTTCTTTCAGCAGTGTTTTATAATTCTTATTGTAGAGATCTTTCACCTCTTTGGTTAGCTACATTCCTAGGTATTGTATGGAAAGACCATTCTTTTGCCACAAGATGACCAGAAAACTTCTTGTGATTTTGCGTAATCGACCCTCTTAGTTTTACAAAATATTGGGGGTGATTCTGCTACTAAAGTCCTTGTTTTTATAAAATTAACCACATAAATGACCTCCTGTGTACTCTTTTGACTTCAAGTCTTTTCTAAACTAGATTGTCTATGAATAACAGTGAATGGATTTCACATAGGGAGTTTCTACTCTAGTCTTACCCTTGAACTATTTTTATTCTAATTATAGCAAGTACTCCATTAGCGGTTACACATCAGCATAAAACATTATTTTATTAAAGAGTTCATTTCTTGTCTGACAATGGCTGACAGCTGTGTGTCTGTGCATTAACCTGGGCAGCAGAAATGCCTCAAACTGGCTGGGTGCGGTGGCTCACACCTGTAATCCCAGCACTTTGGGAGGCCGAGGCGGGCGGATCACGAGGTCAGGAGATCGAGACCATCCTGGCTAACACGGTGAAACCCCGTCTCTACTAAAAATACAGAAAATTAGCTGGGCATGGTGGCGGGCACCTGTAGTCCCAGCTACTCGGGAGGCTGAGGCAGGAGAAAGGTGTGAACCTGGGAGGCGGAGCTTGCAGTGAGCCGACATCTTGCCACTGCACTCTAGCCTGGGCGACAAAGCCAGACTCCATCTCAAAAAAAAAAAAAAAAGAAAAAAAAAAGAAATGCCTCAAACCTTAGAAGTTCAGTTTCAATGGGTCATTTTGCCAGTAGCAAACAAGATGTGAGTGAACATTTGTCCATCGTCAGGAATCTAGGAGGCACATTTCCCACTTGTCCCCTTTGCAAAAGAAAGAAGCTGTTTTATTATCAGTAGAGACAGCTGTTACATTAACATGTGAGAAAGTATCAATTATCATGACAAGAAAGTACAGAGCAAAAAAAAGTGAGAAAAAATGATCACTGGTGGAATTATTTAAATCCTTTCTCTTTATCAGGGCTACTCTGCAGCAAACATCCTGTAATCACTCTGAAGAGCTCTGAAAATGGGTTATTTAGCTTCCTAGTCCTATGATCTAATGCGACCAGATGGAATTTGCCCTTTAAAAAAAACCCTTTTCTCTCTTTTGTTCTCAAGTGATATCACAGTAATGATGAGCTGGATACCCAAAGTCTAGTTATTAGTTTTAAATGCTAAAATGGCTCAGCCTACCTACACTCTCAAAATCATCTGATTCACTGGAGGGGATTAAGAAAATGTACTGGAGTGTTAGAATGGATTTCCAAAGGAATCACATGTTTACCTCAAATCAGAGGTTCTTGGCCATAGCTACAAGCTTTGGCTCTTATTCTCACCTTACATGAAATATTTTGGGATGTTTCTCACCGTTTCAAAGATTTGAAATTTAATTTCAAGTAGCTGAATAGAAATGACATTTCCTAAATTAAAAAATTAGCACTAACTGTATGACACCCTTCATACAAATACTTTTTAATCTTAAAATAAACAAAGCTCCTCTGACTACAAATGAAATTTAAATCAGAAACTGGAACACCACCTCTAGTAGGCCAGTCTTTCCTTGCCATCCCTGAGTGAGAGGGGTCTCTGGTAAAGGGTATCAATCCTACATATATGTTATTAGCAGCATTGCTTTCTGTTTCTTAAGATAGGATGACAAGAAATCTTGCTTTCTCAACCCTGTTTGGAGGTGAGAGTATTCAATTCAGCACACATGTGTTGAGTTCCTGCTTTGTGCAAAGACTTGGTCTCAATACTGCGAGGGCGTAGAGTTCATACTCAGGAAAGAAGAGACATATTCATTTAAAAAAAAGATGTTAGGAAGCTCAATATTATGAGTTACTAACTATTGAAAGCGTTTAGTTCCAAAATTCTAAATCATTAAATTATAACATTTAGTCAGCAGAATAATCCAGGCTAAAAGCTAAACTCACTTTTCTCCTTTGATCAAAACTAAAATTTCTGTAGGTTGAAAGTAGAGAAGGAAAAGGTATAAGGACACAGAAAAGACAAACGCAGTAAGTATGCTTTACTATTAACTGAGCTTTTAACTCTTTCATAAATATTATCTAACTCTGTGTTTGCCTTTTTGAAGGGGCACAAAATGGGGAAGTGGAGTGACTCAGGGCAGCTGGTGTTTTAATGACAGGTCCTCCAAGACAGCACTGGGGCTGAATCATCAGGATCTACTCTCTGGTCTTGACTCAGTCAGGTCTGACAGCACTAGACCCAAGAAGAGTAGCCTTTCTATGACAAACTCATACTAAATGAGCCAAACCAATTCCTAAAACTAGAAAGCCAATCTATTCATCCTGCATCCAAACCACACCTTATTCCACAGCAAATTTAAGGCCACTTAGAAATATGTGGGCAAGTTATCAGAGAAAATAAATCAAAAATTTAAAAACAGAAGAGGCAAATAACAAATAAAAATAAGACAGCAAGATGGCATTGGAAGTGAAGTAAGCTCACAATGTATAGAGAGAGGTATATATTCTTGTAGAATAGCCTCCTTATAGCTGGAATCACAACGCATATACAGTGAGTTACATGGTGGCACCATCATCGTATCAAGATACCAGAGGAGCCAATCAGAAGATTATTCAGAACAAAGGAAATATAATGGGCTGAGGAGAGACATTCCCCTAAACTCTAGAAAAACCTGAGATCTGGTTCCTCAAACAAGACCCACAGCTGCAGTAGTTCAGTCTCCACGCCCAGGGTTCCTCCCTGGACAGTGCCACAGACCTGCTTCTCTGCACCCACTTACTTGGGTTCACACTTCCCTTCACCAATACATGAGGGATCACTGAGGACATAAAGCAGCCTCAGGCACTCCACGAATTCCTCATATGAGTCTTAGACACTCTTTGTCTAGTCCCATCTTTATCTTTGTCTTTCATCAGACCAATCCTTCAAATGTATTAGGTAAAATACACTAGCTATGAACTAGATAGATGACTTTCTCAAAGACAACAGAAGTATTTGTAATCCATCAGGGATCTTGGAAAAGGTTAAAATAAGAAGAGTGGCTCCAGATACAAATTCTCTTTAAGAGATCCTACTGCCATCAATAAGATATATTCTAAGTTTCTGCACAAAACTTAGCATGCCCCTTGACAGTAATTCAGCCAGTGGGAATTACTAGCTATTTGGAATTTCAAAAGAAGTGGAATTTCTAAAGAAGAAATGCAAAATAGAAAAAAAAAAACCCTATGTCCAAATATATCTATTGTCAAAAGATATCCATGTTGTTTATAAAAACAAATAACTAGAAACAATCCAAATGTCTAAGAATTGAGAAACTGATAAGTAAACTACTGTTTCGATTGAGTGCTATATTATACATCACTAAAATGATGTATATTATTTTACATCATTTTAGTGATATAGAAGTATATATAGAAGTTCTATACTTCCACATATGGAAGTATATATAGAAGTTCTATACTTCCACATATGGAAGTATATATAGAAGTTCTATACTTCCACATATGGAAGTATATATAGAAGTTCTATACTTCCACATATGGAAGTATATATAGAAGTTCTATACTTCCACATATGGAAGTATATATAGAAGTTCTATACTTCCACATATGGAAGTATATATAGAAGTTCTATACTTCCACATATGGAAGTATATATAGAAGTTCTATACTTCCACATATGGAAGTATATATAGAAGTTCTATACTTCCACATATGGAAGTATATATAGAAGTTCTATACTTCCACATATGGAAGTATATATAGAAGTTCTATACTTCCACATATGGAAGTATATATAGAAGTTCTATACTTCCACATATGGAAGTATATATAGAAGTTCTATACTTCCACATATGGAAGTATATATAGAAGTTCTATACTTCCACATATGGAAGTATATATAGAAGTTCTATACTTCTATATATGGAAGTATATATAGAAGTTCTATACTTCCATATATAGAAGTATAGAAACTTGTGTATACATTAGAATTGCAACTTTGGGAGCTGGGCGCAGTGGCTCACACCTGTAATCCCAGCACTTTGGGAGGCGGAGGCAGGCAGATCACCTGAGAGCAGGAGTTCAAGACCAACCTGGCCAAGATGGTGAAACCTCATCTCTACTAAAAATACAAAAATTAGCTGGGCATGGTGGGGGTGCCTGTAATCCCAGCTACTCGGGAGGCTGAGGCAGGGGAATCACTTGAACCCAGGAGGCACAGGCTGCAGTGTGCCGAGATGGTGCCACTGCACTCCAGCCTGGGTGATAGAGTAAGACTCTGCCTCAAAAAAAAAAAAAAAAAAAAAAAAAAAAAAAAAAAAAAAAAGAATTGCAACTTTTGGAGAAAAGTTCCTGTGCATGGGATAAGAAGGTTGAAAGGAAAATCAATCAAATGCTAACAATTGTTTTAGAATTATGGGATCAGGGGTAATCTTTTAAAATCTATTTTACAAATTTTCTTTTACTGTGGCCCTATTATGAAATATAGGTAAACAAATAAAAACATTCAAACTCACTTAAAACTTATGACACATATTGAACAAGTCTTTAAACTGTTGTAAATAGATAGATAATTAGATAGACAGATGGAGATCATGAGAAGGCTGTGTTCGTGAGGATATAGGAGAATATCTCCCTGGGAATCACTTGCAATAGGGAGAAAGAGTAGGGAGACTCACAGCAGGGTAGGAAGTGCTACAATAGTAGATGGGGCTGATACAGACAGGAGACAGGGAAGTACTTGGTAGAAGAGGGCAGTTCCCTGGCAAAGGCCCCACCCCCATGCCTGGAAAGCCGCAGCCCTAAATGGGAACAGGCATTCTTATTTTCAGGCCCATATGTTGCCTTTTGGCCTGCCAAGCCCTCTGTCCTGTACCCATATAAACCCCAAGCCCCAAGCTCCATGAGCAGATGAGCAGATGAACAGAAGAGCAGAAGAGCGGCAGAATGGTGCAGCAGAGAAGGAGAGAGGAGAAGGGGCATCTGAATGTTGAGAGGAGTTCAGCTGGGCATGGTCAGAGAGGAGATCAGCGCTAGATGGCCAAACTCCAGGGGAATATCATTTTCCCACTCCATCCCCCTTCTAGCTCCCCACCCACCCCACTGAGAGCGACCTCAATCACCCAATAAAATCCCTGCATTCACTGTCTTTCAAGTCCATGTGCGATCTGATTTTTCCTGGACGCCGGACAAGAGCTCAGGATACAGAAAGCTGTCACACTGGCCCTCTGCCTTGCAAAAAGGTAGAGGGTCCACTGAGCTGTTTGATATTTAAGCTGGACATGGATGGCAAAGCTCAAAGAGCGCACTGTAACACACACCCATTTGGGCTTTGGGAGTCATAGGCATTCACCCCTAGAGCTTCCATGGCGCTGGAGGCCAAGAAAGCACTTGCCCCAGCTCCTGCAGTTGCCCGTCTGCATGCTCCCCGTCCCATAAGGGGTTTGAGTGCTCACAGTAGCCAAACAGACCAGCCACACCCTGTCGCATGTCCTGTGAGTGGGGACAGGGAACTCCCATTTTAGGGCAAAAGCACATATATACTATATACTGCCTGTTTTATTATTGCAACTTTTTTTTTTTTTCTTGCTGGGATTACTTGAGATTTTTATTTTCTGATTGGCATTTCCATGGACTTGCCAAATTGTCTATAATGAACTTACACTACTTTTACAGCTGGAAAAACAAAGTCCATTAAACAAGAAACAGAAACCCAGGTGAAACTGTCAGCCCTACCATCTGCAGCATTTGGGGTCCCACTTCTGCTCAGAGCCCACTCCTCTCTGCCCATTTGGGATCTCCTGGCTCAAAGGCTCCTTAATCTTTAGCACATCCTATACAACTTCATTCTTACCTGAACACTGATAAAACCAAGGTGCTACACTATTTAAAAATCACTGCTTAGACCAGATAATAGTAAATACAAATAATTTCCAAATATCTCTCCAAAGTCATTTCTCAAAATAATCTCTACTAATCCCTAATGGAATCAAAGTAGTCTGGGACTCCCCCCCATCCCCGGCCTCCTATCAAAGACTTACTTCTGAGGGAGTTGAGAGATCTTCGGTTGTAAAATAAAAGATAATAATAAATCTAAGATCCTATCTGATTCTCCCCGCTTTAATTCCTGGCCTTTAAATGCAACATTTGCCACGAGAAAAAAATAAAAGTAAGTTCAGTTCATCTGTCATATTTCTGCCTTCTCCATTAAAGGCATCTATTTTACATATTGTCTTGAGACTTGGCACTATTCAGAGAGATTTAAATAGACCTTGTATTAGTTTGCTAGGGTTGTCATAACAAAGACCACAGACTGAGTGACTCAAATAACAAATTTCTTTTCTCACAGTTCTGGAGGCTAGAAGTTCAAGATCGAGGTGTCAGTGGGATTGGTTTCGTTCTGAGGCTGCTCTCCTTGGCTTTTAGATGTTTTCTTCTCCCTGTGTCTTCACGTAATCTTTCCCTTGTTCATATCCATGTCCTAATAGTATCTTTTTACAATACCAGTCATATTTGTATTAGGATCTACCCTAAGAACCTCATTTTATCTTAATTACCTCTGTAAGGGCCCTATCTCCAAATATAGTTATATTCTGAAGTATTAGGGGTTAGGACTTCAACCTACCAACTTTGGGAAGGACACAATTCCATTCACGACAAACCCGAATCCTGCTTTCTAGAAACTTTCCATCTAAAACAACATGGATGAACAAAAACCAAATTAAGCAAGCACTGAGGAACTCCTGAATGGTGCTTTGGTCCAGTGCAATTAGCACTAGGATTATGGAGACTTTCATTGCCAATATTTTACCCTTAATTTAAATCATGTCATGAACCATGTCACCCAGGAATTTCTAGCATTATGCTTTTCTGTTCCTAAATCCAATATCACCACATGGCACCATAAGCTCTCAGAACCTTCATGTTGGGCCCTGAACTGCTTTGTAACTGACCTTTGATCCTCCCAGAAGGGATCTTCTAAAGTGTTACAGAAAGCATGATTTAATCACTCCATAGACACACCCACCCGCCTGTGTAAATAGGCCCCTTCTCTGCTACAGGCTTAGAAAACAAAAACAAGACTACTTCACGGATTTATCTCTACCTTCAAATAGCCCTAAGTTGCTCAGAAATAACAACAGAAAGGAGAGGAAGCTCTCCCTTCACTATACACTTTTTCGGTGTCTACTGAATTCATAGCATAGCAAAGGTATCATAGGTGAGACAAAGTGAAAAGGAACATAGCCCAGACTTCCAACTACTGGAGGACTTGACAGCCTGGCCACCAGCACACCTCCAGAAGAAATTCCCATTAGGTTTTGTGCTTTTTCCCTCCAGAAAATAGGTAGGTCGTAAGGATGCTCATGAGATCCCTTTCCCCAATTCTCATTGCCTTATCTTTTTAAATGCCAATCCTTTATTTTGACTGCAAAGGTTTTTCGCTAATAGATGGCTATCATTCACTAATAGGTGGCTGTATTTAAAATACAGATTTAAACAGAAGACATTTTCCCTACAAGATTCCAAGAATTAGTTAAAGAGAGTAGTTATGATGCAAACAACCTATTGACAAAAGCATCATCAAACAAAGATGTTTGAATTTGTCATTCTGATAAAATGACCCACAATAGGAATCTTCACAGAGCAAGTTTTCTTCCCCTCCTCCCAATTCAGTATATCACATCTCCCTCTCCAACCCACAAAAATCAATTTGCAGAGATAAATTTACATATAAATAAAAGTATGCCTGCAGGTTGTAAGTTCAATCAATAAAGCCACAAGCATTTGTTAAATGCTTCCTATATGCCTAGTTATGTTTTAAGTGCTTGGAGGTACAAAAGAGCTACATGGAATCTCTCTGGATTCATTTAAAACCTATTTTGTTACATTGAAAATGTATCAAACGTTCCAAAGAAAAAAAAAGAGAGACAAAGCCTCTTCAGGAACCCTTTCCTTTTGCGAGCCTTTGAAGCTCATGTTAAATACTATAGAAGAGTTTTTGAAACTTAGATTCTTAAAGGGAAAAATAATAGGTTGGCCTGAGGTTTGAAAGAAATGTTGTAACAGTCACTGTGAGGCATCCTTCAGGAAAAATAGTGCTTTCAGTGTTTATAAGTTATTCATTAGAAAACTCAGGGTCTAGCTGGCTGACACTGTAGGTGGCAAAGCAAAACTTTCATCCTCATTGGAAGCTAGGAGCTATAAAGCCAGGTGTGGGGTGTGATTTGTTTCTGGAGGGCAGCTCTAAATCACAAGAACATAAAGAAAGGGAGAGAGAACAAGAGCTAGAGATAGAGCAGCCTTGCTGTTTTGTCCATGAAAGGAAATGCTACATGTCAGAGGAAGAGCTGCTGGAGAACTCACTAGCAGAGGGAGGAAGCAAGGAGAAGACCTCATTTTGGGAAGATAATCACAAGAGCTCAGAGCCAATACCATAATTTTTAAACTCAAAAACCAGAACTGTACAGCCTTAAGACTCTGATGCAAATAAGATATTCAGAGTTAGAGACCCAGCATTATTAAGTAGATGATTATAATGAGAGAGTGTGTTTGAACATTTTTATTATGTTTAAAGATAAGCGATTACAGACGTCCCACCTTCTGCATGGTTCTAATGTGTACAAATTTCAGTTACCATAGTTTAGTTAAATAACATCAGTCACCCAACAAAACAACTCAAAGTGCACTTACCACTGTATATTAATGGTGAGTAATCACATAAAATACAAACTTTGCGCTAAACTAAGCCCACAAATCACCATATCAGTAACAGATGGGCATCATGATCAGTAACCAATCACATCACTTCTTTTAAAGTCTGTCAGTGACTGGTCACCAGGCATCTGTTATTCAGTTCAGGTACAGACAATAAAGCATAGAGTTGTATCGCCTTCTCGTCCCCAGTGATAAATTCATATAAAAGTTTACAACAAATCTGAAAGTGCAGCAAAGAAATGAAAAGTGGTAATGCAGAAAATTGAAATTGGTGTGATGAGAAGATTTGAAAATGGCAACATCAAAGCAAAGATAGGACAATAACTAGGCCTTCAGGAAGCTAGGGTATGAACTATGCCGACAAAGTTCGCTGAATATAAAAAATGAGGTAAAGCAGCTTCAACATATTTTAGCTTAAATTGCAGTAGGAAGAGAAAGCCACATGTGGTTGAAATGGAGTGCTTACTTCTGCTTTTGTGTCCGCAATTGGTTCCTTCCAGTGGGTTCTTGGTCTCACTGACTTCAAGAATGAAGCCGTGGACTCTACAGTGAGTGTTACAGTTCTTAAAGATGTCGTGTCTGGAGTTTGTTCCTTCAGATGTTCAGATGTGTCTGGAGTTTCTTCTTTCTGATGGGTTCGTGGTCTATGCTGACTTCATGAGTAAAGCTGCAGACCTTCGCAGTGAGTGTTACAACTCTTAAAGGTGGTGCGGACCCAAAGAATGACCAGCAGCGAGACTTATTGCTAAGAGCGAAAGAACAAAACTTCTACACCCTGGAAGGGGACCCGAGGAGGTTGCCACTGGTGGCTGGGGTGACCTGCTTTTTATTCCTTTATTTGGTCCCGCTCACATCCTGCTGATTGGTCCATTTTACAGAGAGCTGATTGGTCCATTTTACAGAGAGCCGAATGGTCCATTTTTACAAGTGCTGATTGGTGTGTTTACAAACCTTTAGCTAGACACAGAGCGCTGATTGGTGCGTTTTTACAGAGTGCTGATTGGTGCATTTACAAACCTTTAACTAGACACAGAGCGCTGATTGGTGCATTTACAATCCTTTAGCTAGACAGAAAAGTTCTCCAGGTCCCCACCTGATTAGCTAGACACAGAGCACTGATTGGTGCGTTTTTACAGAGTGCTGATTGGTGCGTTTACAAACCTTTAACTAGACACAGAGCACTGATTGGTGCATTTACAATCCTTTAGCTAGACAGAAAAGTTCTCCAGGTCCCCACCGGATTAGCTAGACACAGAGCACTGATTGGTGAGTCTACGAACCTTTAGCTAGACACAGAGCGCTGACTGGTGCATTTACAAAATCCTTTAGCTAGACAGAAAAGTTCTCCAAGTCCCCACCCGACCCAGAAGTCCAGTCAGCTTCACCTCTCACTTTGAATCGAGGGCTGCAATAAAACATAATCTCAATCAGTTCAGCTAGCATCCCAAAGTGTGATCATTGCCATGCTGAAAGAAAACAGTGATTCTAAGGAAGCCAAAGAAACTTCTACTGCCAATAAAGACTGGTTTCATCATTTCAGATGCCAGAATGAATGATTTACAGTAAGCTATCTGATTAAGTAGCTGGTGAAAATAAGTTTTCTGCCGTGAAATTTGAAACAAGATTTCAAGAATTAGTTAAGGAAAGTAGGTTATGATGCTCTCAAACAAGAGAGTGGCTATGACAAAAGCACAAAGATGTCCCAGAGAAAGGGATGCTGGCAAAAATGTCAGGTTAAAGAAACTCTCAAAGATATTTCACAACCTTGAAAGTGCAGAGGATAAAATGTTAAAAGTGAATCCAAACTTGAAAGGATGGTGACAATTTGCCAAGGAATAAAAAAGGATGAAATACCGGGAAGGGCTACAACGTGGAGAAACCTTGAAACATTATGCAAAGCCAGTCATAAAAGACCACTTACTATCTGATTCCATTTATATGAAATGTCCAGAATAGGCAAATCTATATAGATACAGAAAGTAGATTAATGGTTGTCTAGGGCTGAGGAGGGTATGATGAGAGGGTAGGAGGGTGATAGATAAAGGGTCTGAGATTTAAACTGTCTGTTTAACATTATCAGAGAGCTGTCAAAAATATCCAGAATTTGAAAGGCTAAGATTCCAAAGAAAAAAGAAGCTGACTAAGTGAGTCCAATATTCTTTATACCTCTTTCGCCCTCAAGGCATTAATGACTCCTAGGGTGGCCGGGGTTGTAGGGGGTCAGGGAGTAGGGTTGCTGAGAAGGCAGGCAGAGAATGAATGCTAAGAGGCAAAGAAGCTGGCAATCTTGTGGAGCTGGGTTGGAGCCTGCCAAGACAGCCAGGACCTAAATAGCCAAGATTCCTGAAGAGAGGAGGCCTGGGGAAGACAGCCTGATACTCAGTAACTTTCCCTTCAACACTGAAAAAATAGGAATAATTATCTAGCAAGACCAATAAAAAAAGAGAAATCAAGCACAAATTACATAAGTAAGGGAACAAAAATGGCCTCACTACAAAAATGGCCTACACCCCACAAACATCAAAGAGTTACTAATGGGATATTAGAACAACCCTAGGCCAATAAATTTGGAAAATTAGATGAAATGGACAAACTCCTGGAAAAATAAAACTTATTAAAACTGCCTCAGAAAGATCAGAAAATCTGAATGGTGCTTTAGCTATTAAAGAAACTGAATCTATCATTTTAAGTCTTTCCACAAAGGAATCTCCAGATCCAGTTGGTTGTACTGATGAATTCTTCCACTGAGGAAGAAGAAAGACTAATACTAAGAAACTTCTCTCAGAGAAAACAATCTATAAATAAGGGAACTGATCAAGTTTACTAGTAAACAAGATCAATATACAACAAAACACCAAAAATAAACTACTAAAAATGAAATTTGAGGCCGGGCATGGTGGCTTACGCCTATAATCCTAGCACTTTGAGAGGCCAAGGCAGGTGGATTGCTTCAGCTCAGGAGTTCAAGACTAGCATGGGCAACGTGGCAAGACCCATCTCTACAAAAAATACAAAAATTAGCCAGGCATGGTGGCGCATGCCTGTAGTTCCAGCTACTTGGGAGGCTGAGGCAGGAGGATGGCTTGAGCCCAAGAGGTGAGGTTACAGTGAGCCAAGATCGTGCCACTGCACTCCAGCCTGGACAACAGAGTGAAAATGATATGATAGTGGCTCTCATCTGCTCCCCGCACCCGACCACTGGGGCAGATTTTAATTTTTTAAAAATAATCATCTGATGCTGAATTTAAAACTTTGGAGGGAATCAAAAGAGAAGGTCTTGCACTCCTGTTATCCAAGAGACATAAATACATGTGTGTTTTCCTTTTAGGCCGAAAACAAGAACAACATTCCTGGCATTCAACTACAAGGAAGCCCAATACCCCGGGTGCCATAAGACTTCCAGTATGCCTGCCTGAGCTTTGAAAGAGAGGAGAGGAAGCCAAGTCATCCAGCAGATCGGACCCACAAGCTCATCCTCTAGTTTTTTTCAAGGGGCACCATTCCTGTAAGGAAAGCTTTCTTGGGCTTGGCTGTAGAATCTTCCAGAAATGTAAACAAAAGAGTAAGAGCCAAAGACCAAGAACCCTGGCTGGTGAGAGTCAGAGGGCCAGAATTTAGTGTAAAGCCCGCTCTAAAGACTGTTAACACTTCCTTTCCACCACTGCATCGATGATTGTTTGAAAAAGTGATTGTTTGTGATAGACTGGATTAAGAAAATGTGGCACATATACACCATGGAATACTATGCAGCCATAAAAAATGATGAGTTCATGTCCTTTGTAGGGACATGGATGAAATTGGAAATATCATTCTCAGTAAACTATCGCAAGGACAAAAAACCAAACACCGGATGTTCTCACTCATAGGTGGGAATTGAATAATGAGAACACGTGGACACAGGAAGGGGAACATCACACTCTGGGAACTGTTGTGGGGTGGGGGGAGAGGGAAGGGATAGCATTAGGAGATATACCTAATGCTAAATGACGAGTTAATGGGTGCAGCACACCAGCATGGCACATGTATACATATGTAACTAACCTGCACATTGTGCACATGTACCCTAAAACTTAAAGTATAATAATAATAAAATAAAATAAAATAAAATAAAATAAGAAAAAGTGATTGTTTGAACAAGTGTATCAATGATTGAACAAGTATAAAAAAGGTTTATTATGCCTTTAATAAAAAGGAACATATACATATCAATCTAAAAGACCTCTAAGGTCTCAAAATATAAATGGGCAACAAAACCGGACAGAATTTACAGAAAAAATGTCTAATAAAAATACAAATGTCTAGTAACCATGTGAAAAGCGTTTGCCTGGAGTAGAAATCAAAATTAAAATGAATTACCAGTTTTTGCCAAACATATTACCAGAGATGTTTTTAATAAACATTTTCCAAAAAAAAAAGAGTGACATGGGCACCCTCATGTCTGATGATGGGAGTATATTAATACATCTTCAAAATCTATAAAATGTTAACAGATAAGAGATACTGACAGGGCTGATTCTAACCTAAATACTACAAAGAAACATATGCTGTGGGTATGGAGTGAGAGTTAATATGTCCCGGCCCACCTCATGTCTAAATATGCTGAAACAGCTTCTATTTAAAATAAGTGCTGTCCTCCAGCTGTAGCAAATAGGAAGACAAGTATCTTCATGCTGTTGACCTGGTTTTCCTATCGTGATTCACGAATGACTTTAAGAAAGAGCTAAATCAACTGGCAAACTACATTAGAAAGAAGAATTTAGGGCCAGGTGTGGTGGCACATGTCTGTATTCCCAGTACTTTGGGAAGCCAAGTTGGGCGGATTGCTTGAAGCCAGGCGTTTGAGACCAGCCTGGCCAACATGGCGAAACCCTGTCTCTACTAAAAATACAAAACAGGCCAGGCACGGTGGCTCATGCCTGTAATCCCAGCACTTTGGGAGGCCAAGGCGGGCAGATCACCTGAGGTTAGGAGTTTCAAGACCAGCCTGCCTAACATGGTGAAACCCTGTCTCTACTAAAAATACAAAAATTAGCCAGGCATGGTGGCAGGTGCCTGTAGTCCCAGCTACTCACAAGACTGAGGCAGGAGAATCACTTGAACCCAGGAAGCGGAGGTTGCAGTGAGCCCAGATCATACCACTACACTCCAGCCTGGGTGACAGAGCAAGATTCCGTCTCAAAAAATAATAATAAATAAATAAATAAATAAAAATACAAAAGTTATCCATGTGTGCACTCCAGCCTGGGTGTCAGAGAAAGATTCTGTCTCAAAAAAAAAAAAAAAGAGTTGAGGTAGAACACATTCAGATTGACAGTATATTCCCGATATATCCCTCCAGTAATACACACACACACACACACACACACACTTGCACTCACACATGCACACTTGCTTCATGAAATTCTTTTTTATCTTTATGCCTTTTCAAAACATACCTCCTTTCAATCCCCTAACTTCTGTTTAACCACTTTCCCCTCTCTACCAGCCAGTTTTCCTCTGTCTGACCTTAAATACCCCAAATGCTTTACATCCTTGGCTTTCTTCTCTTTCGGTCTTACACCTTCTTGATGAATGTGAGATTCTCAGACTCTGCTATTGCTTCAAGAACCCTTATCTCTATGCAATTTCCAAATCCATACCTCCAACTCTGTATGAACTTCCCTCACAGATACTAGATCAATATTTCTTGTTTTGACTTTAAATACACACCTAAAATGAAATTTTCCTTTCTTACCCCCATCTCAACTTCTTTCTGTCCTATATTTATTTATTCACTTGTTTATTCACTCATTCCACAAATAGCTAACAAGTACCAGGCATTATTACTGCCTGGTACTTACTATTGACCACTTGTTCTTCCAAATAGACATGTAAGAATCAACCTTCATTCTCCTCAGTCCTTTACTTGCTCAGGTCAACTGTGTGTACTAACTCACACAGGTGCCTTAGATTCAGCCCTTTTCTTCATCCCCACTAACATTTCAGCCCTAGCCCTCATCCTCTCTCACCGGGATGCCTGCAGCAACTCCTATATATTTTCCCTACCAGTAAAGTCAGTCCATCTTACACACAGTTGGCAGAATTATCTTCCTAAAAAGTAAATTGGACCATGTCACTTCCAGTTCTGAAAAGCCTTTCACAGCCCATAGCAATGGTGGGATCTGTGTATCAACCACATAAGAATCAGGCCGGGGAGCTCCTTAAGCTATTGCTTGCTGAGCCCCAGACCTACTGCAACCATCTCCTTGGAGAGAAGACTTAGGAATTCCCTTTTTTAATGAGCTCCCCAGGTGATTCTTGTACCCATGAAAGGTAGAGAGCCATGGGCCTGCAGGAGAGAATCCAAGTTCCTTAGGCAGAAATACAAGGTCCTTCACTCCCTCGGCCCAACTGGTCTCAGTTCCCTCCACTCTATACCGTTCACCCTACACACCAGTCACACTGAATTTCTCACTGTTGTCTGGACACTTTGGTTCCTCCACACCTCCATGCCTGTCTCTATACCCCGCTTCCCTGCCTTCCCCTCCACCTAGTAAAACCCTGATCCCCCTTCCTCTGAGAATCCTTCCCTGACCAACACTTGCTGCCCCACCAGAGATGTCTGCTGCCCCATCAGACTTGTACCATATGTATTATATATGACATAATATTCTATATATTATATAGAATAGAGAGAGATTCATATTGGTTCTGTTTCTCTGGAAACCAATAAATATGTATTATTTAGACATACATAATAGAAGATATTCTCTCTCCCTCTGGAGAGATTTACTTTAGCATTTATTATAATGAATTGACTCATGTGATTATGGAGGCTGAGAAATCCCAAGATCTGCAGTTGGCAAGCTGGAGACCCAGGAGAGCTGATGTGTGGTTCCTGTCCAAATCTGAAAAAGGCCTGAGAACCAGGAGATTTTATACACACACACACACACACACAAACACACACACACACACAAACACACACACACACACACACACACATATACACACACATATATATATACACATACACACACATCTGTTTCTCTGGAGAACTTTGACTAATACAGTCACAAAGCAGCCATTTGAAAAATGTTTCTATATTTGTTCCATTGAAAACACTGTCCATTAGCAAACAATAGGTGTCTGAAAAAAAGAGAAAAGAAAACCCTGTCCATTATGTTAAGTGCTCCACTGAAACAGTCATAGACACAACTTGGATGCCTGCTCACACCCGAATATGTACACCTCTTGTCCCCACCACTTCCCTGACATCCATACTTAAGGATCTACCTGACCACTGTCCACTTGACATCTCAATGAGTTATCTCTTTTATTTATTTATTTATTTTGAGACAGGGTGTCACTCTGTTGCCCAGGCTAGAGGGCAGTGATGTGATCATGGCTCACTACAGCCTCTTCCCCCCAGGCTCAAGCGATCCTCCCACCTCAGCCTCTCCAGCAGTTGGGACCGTAAGTGCATGCCGCCACACCCAGCTAAGTTTTTGTATTTCTTGTGGTAGAGACTGGGTTTCACCATGTTGTCCAGGCTAGTCTCAAACTCCTGAGCTCAAGCGACTCACCTGCCTCAGTCTCCCAAAGTGCTGAGATTACAGGTGTAAACCACCACACCTGGTCCAAGTTATCTCTTAAGTAGCTCAAATTAAACATGTCCAAAACAGAATTCCTGATTTTGCTCCCCAAACCAGCCCAGTCTTCACCATCTCAAAAGATGGATCATCATTCATCTATTGTCTCGAGCCAAAAACCTAGAGCAATCTCAATTCCTCTCTTTCTCTTCTTTCCTTCATGCAGCAAATCAGCAAGTCTTGTTGATACTACTTCCAATACTGAACACTTAACACAACTCCACCAGCTTTATCCTGGATAAAGCCACTGTCATCTCTCACTGAGACTTCTGCAATAGTCTCCCAGTTGGCATCCCTGCTTCCACTCTTGCTCCCTGACATCCATTCTCCAGACAGTAGCCAGAGGAAATTAGAATTAGGCATTCAAATATACAACATTGCTCCTTGATTAAAATTTCCACTGGTTCCCAATCTCTCTTGGGGGAAAAATCCAAATCTCTACAAAGCCATACATGGCTACCTTCTCTAACCTCATCTCCTACCAGGCCTCTGCCACTCCCCACCACCACCACCACTGTATCCCCTACTCTGTACAAGTCCTCTCCAGTCCAACTGGCTGTTTCTCAAATATACCAAGTTTTTCCTACCTCTGGGTCTTGGAGCTTCCTTTTCCTTCTCCCGAAATGCTCTTTGGATAAAGACTGGGCTGGTCTGGGGAGCAAAATCAGGACTTCTGTTTTGGACATGTTTAATTTGAGCTACTTAAGAGATAACTTGGGTCAGGTGTGGTGGCTCACACCTGTAATCCCAGCACTTTGGAGACCGAGGCAGGTGGAATGCTTGAGCTCAGGAGTTTGAGACTAGCCTGGGCAACATGGTGAAACCCAGTCTCTACCACAACAAATACTAAAAGTTGGCTGGGCCTGGTAGCTGGGCTCCCTCTCACCATTCAGCTGTCTGCTCAAATGTCAGCTACTCAGACATCTTCCCCCGCCTTCCCAACACTCTCTATCTCATTCATCCACTTCATTTGCCTTCAGGGCACTCATCACTACCAGGAATTACTTACTTTACTGACTTTATTGACTCTCTCTCCCCACTAAAATATAAACCCTATGAAGACAGAGAATTTATCTTGTACACCTTCATATCCATGGTGCCTGGAACACAGTATGTACACAACACATAAATCAATGAATGCTCTGAGAGTACTGTTGTTTTTAATACTCTGAGTACCATTGTTTTTAATGCTCTGAGAGTACCATTTAATGCTCTGAGAGTACCATTTTGCGGAGACACTTACCTATTCCAGTGCAGGAATAGGTAAGAAAATCATGGAATGTATAAGGAAATTATGTAACTCATCATGTTTCTCCTTTGTCTTAACTTCCAGGAAGCTCAGTCTTAAATTTTGTACTGAAGCCTAACAATTTACCTTACATTGGGTTTCCTTTTTAATTATCTACTCATTATATGACTTTTGATCTTGTATCATTATTGTAACATTTATACAGCTATCTTTTATTGTAAAGCACCTCAATTCCTTCATGTGGGCAGGCTGTAAAAATTAATACATACCAGTCCTCTGTTCTTTTATTGATTCACGTATGTTAATATTGTCTCTCTAACATGATTATAAGCTTCTTGAAAGCAGCCCAATAGATTTTATCCTTTTATATGCCCTCAAAACACATATTACATTCATTTAATAACATTCATCATTTACCAATTTCTTCATTGATTTGTTGATTGATCAATAGCATAACCCCAGGTGGTACAGGTGAATAATTCAGGGTCTAAAGAAAATTGTCATCACCCTTTGAAAATTTGGACACATTTATTAAAAGTGAGAGGGCAGGAGTTATCTACATCAAAAAGACAACTTGCCTTGGTGAGTTGGATGGGGAGGACATGCAGGTACAGCTAAGCCCGATGCAAAGGTTAGCAGCAGAGAACCTAGAAGGGGTAAAATATTCTACAAGAAAATGGTCCTGGAAAAACTGCTGGAGAGAAAGTGAAATGAAGGGAGCAAAGTCATGCCTGAAAAAAGATGAAGATACTGATCCACCTCTTGCTGGAGAAATAATGAAGAAGTCTTGGCTGAGTAGATGGGATTGAGGGGAGATGGGATAAATTTGGGATTAAAGGACAGGTGCAGGAGAAGGCTTTGTCATTAACACTGAATGACGACTACCTGGAGGTCGTCCCTTTATCCACCTGTGGGGCCCAGATCGAGGTTACAGCAGAAAAGACAGGAAGAGAGGGAGAGGTGAGTTCTGATAGAAACCTGGCAGGAATGCTTTCTCACTAATAACTTTTGACATTCAGCAAAACTCCCAGCAGTGATTTTAAAGACCAGCACTAACCAGGAAGGCCAGCAGGCAGAAGCGGATGCTCGCATGGTGGATGGAGCAGTTGTCCCCATCAGCATCTTTCCAGCTGGCTGGGCACTACATGTCCTCACAAAACTCTTTGCAGCGGCTTCAGTGCTAGACATGTGGAAGGCTCGGAGTTTCTGTAGGAGTTCCCCCACCTCCAGAGCCCCCTTGAATCCACAATTTGCATTCCTCACACCAGGAGAGGGCCTGGAAAAGGCCCTTCACAGCAGGCAGCACACATCCAGTCTCCATTTCAGCACCCAGAGCCTTCTAATGGGCACTTCGCTGAGACCTTAATGTCTGCATAAGGGCCCAGAAATAGCAGAACTTTCATCTGAAATAGTGAACTTTCATCTGAAAATCATGGCAAATAACTGCAGAGTCAGAGTGACTTATATAATATGCCAGGCATTTATTGTTGTTGTCATTGTTTTTAATGTTCTGAGAGTACCGTTGTTCTTAATGCTCTGAGTACCGCTGTTTTTAATGCTCTGAGAGTACCATTTAATGCTCTGAGAGTACCGTTGTTCTTAATACTCTGAGTACCATTGTTTTTAATGCTCTGAGAGTACCGTTTAATGCTCTGAGAGTACCGTTTTGCTGAGACACTTACCTATTCCAGTGCAGGAAATAGATGATAAGGCCAATTTCAACACTGGAGAGAGAGCAGTTTTGCTCAAAGGACTTTTGCCCTAACAAAGAACCAGATCTACACTGGCATCTTCAGAACCCCTCATGAGCATTTGTTAAGTGATGCATTAGTTATCCCACCAAGAGGGCAGGTACACTGATGCACAAGGTAAGAGGTCACTCATGAATCTAATCAGTGTAGGCAAGCAAAATGGAATACATTCATAACAAATCTTGGACAAAATGGCCCACTAATGGCTTCCCCCCTTCTCTATACCTGTGGAGGACAGCTGTATCCATCCAAGATCCTCTCATCATCTAAAGTGTGTGTTCACTGAAAACTTACTATGTTCCATGCATTATGTTTACATCATCATCTCACATAAGCCTCCCAACATCCCTGCAAGGAAAGTACCAACATTAGCCCATTTCACAAATGAGGAAACTCGTTGAGGTTAAGCCCTCACCTAGTTGGTGGATCCAGCAGCTGGACCCAGGCAGTCTGATTCCAGAGCTCCCATACTCAGCATCTAAACAACACTGTCTGTCTCCCACAGAGCGGCACAGGGCCAATGGGCAGAGACGCCAAAATGAGGCACATCATCCCATGTAGCCACCTCTGAAGAGCAAGAAATGGCTACAACTGACAAGAAGAAACAGATTTATACATCAGAGACAAAAGAGATAGGCCCTCTTGAATCTCTGAGCATAATAACTGAATAAAAGTGGCTTTGTTTGCTTAATTAAACTTCAGCATTTACTGAAATTACAGTAATGCAGCAATCACTTTCACTCTAATCTAGGTTACAGTATTTGAAGTTTCCCCCTAAAAAGCAAACATTTGGGCTTAAGAAAATACCTACCAAATGATTTCTGGAGAGGCAAAACATTTGAAAAGACTTTAGCAATTGATCTCAATGCGGAGATACTTTTAAAACAAAAACCCTAAGCCCTGGGTCTCAGCTCCCTGCACAAGACCAGACATACACATAATCCACATTCATCACACACACACTGCACAAACAATGCACTTACACCACATGCACACACCACACCCATATATACATAGCACATACATACCCAACACACAAACCACATACCCACCACATAGACACACATACACCACACACAAGACACCCATGCCATACAAACCACACACACAACACACAATCAACATACACTCATAGCACACACACACACACACACACACTCAGTCACACTGAACAGCAAAGCGGCGTGTGCTGCCTCTCCTGGTGGTCCCCTCTGTGTCCTCATTTATGGTATAATTGCGCATTTCATTTCCAACTTGAAGAGCACAGCTCTGCAGGGCAATTGTTTTAAACCTGAGATTGCCTGAATTAAATGGCAATTTTAGTTTTTTATAGTGCAAAATACAGTTTACATTGGCAAAAAAAAAAAAAAAAAAAAAGACATGGAGTTTCAAAACTCATGCTCTTAAGCCTCCTGAATCACAGTAATTTTAAAATCTTGATTCTGCCATTAGGGTGAAAAAGAAAATCTATTTTGTAATCTGGCACCTTCTCATGATGAGTTTCTTACTGTGACTCATGCTATAGATGCCTTGTGCAAATGTAAAAAAAAAAAAACAGATTGATACGTGAGAAGAATTTCAATAACGGGAGAGGAACCATTTGGGTGAATCAAGCCCTTCCCAGTCTTCAATAACTTGGGGCTCCTTGGACAGCCCACATCATGCCAAAAAAGGCATTCTCACAGTTGGGAAGAACTGCATCGGACACCAGTGTCAAAAAGAGGATTTTTAAACTCGCTCTGACCAACATCCCTACGCATCCACTGACAAATATTCTCTGCGACCTAACAGCTGATATTCCTTTTGTTCTCCTAATTAAAAACTTTTATGGCTAAATGCAACATGGTATACTGGATTGGATCCTGGAACAAAGAAAAGACATTAGTGGAAAAACTGGTAAAATATGAATATGTTCTGTATGTTAGTTGATGATATTATATCCCAGTTTTGACAATGTACCATCGTTACATAAGATGTTAACATAAGGTGAAGCTGGGTGAAGGGTATATGAAAACTCTGTACCATCTCTACAACTCTTCTGTAAATCTAAAATTATTTAAAAACAAAAAAAAAGTTTTAGTATTTGTGGTAGAGGATACCTCCCATATCAGTCTTTGCTTTCTTTACATAAGGAGAATACTGGTGCAACACTTCTCATGGAGTTTATAGGATATTGAGAGAGCCAAGTAAAAAGGGCTCCCTGGAGAATCTCCAACCCACCTGTGCACTGGGAGGACGGGGTGGGGCCTCAGGAAGTTTGAGCGGTTTGCAGGGGGAGGAGCCTGGCCGCTCCTGTTCCCATGTGGTAACTGGGGATTCAATCTAGCAGGATTCTCACTTTGCTGAGAGTCCCTGTTTCCCTTTTTTTCTTCCTTTTCACCCAATGAACCCTGCCCTACACACCCTACAACGTGTCCATGTGCCTAAATTATCCTGGTCGTGTCACAAGAAACTGATTTTCCAACAACAACATTTGGGCACAGTGTAATCATGGCCTATAATCTCTTTTATAATTCTATAATTTTAAATATCTGATTAAGCTATTTCAAAAAAATTTTTCTTTTCTTTTTGTTTTTGGAGACGGGAGTCTCGCTCTGTCACCCAGGCTGGAGTGCAGTGGTGCAATCTTAGTTCATTGCAACCTCTGCCTCCCAGGTTCAAGTGATTCTCCTACCTCAGCCTCTCAAGTAGCTGGGACTACAGGTATATGCCACCTCATCTGGCTAATTTTTTTTTTTTTTTTTTTTTTTTGAGATGGAGTTTCTCTCCGTCGCCAGGCTGGAGTGCAATGGCGCAATCTCGGCTCACTGCAACCTCCACCTCCCCGGTTCAAGTGAGTCTCTTACCTCAGCCTCCCTAGTAGCTGGGATTACAGGGGCCCGCCACCACGCCCAGCTATTTTTTTTTTTTTTTTGTATTTTTAGTAGAGACGGGGTTTCACCATGTTGGCCAGGCTGGTCACGAGCTCCTGACCTCAAGCGATACACCCACCTTGGCCTCCCAAAGTGCTGGGACTACAGGCATGAGCCACTACACCCGGTCTAATTTTTGTATTTTTAGTAGAGATGGGGTTTTACCATGTTGCCCAGGCTGATCTCGAACTCCTGACCTCAGGTGATCTGCCCGCCTCTCCCCATGTCTGCGTGGGTTTTCGTAGGGTACTCTGGCTTTCTCCCACATCCCAAAGCTGTACACGTTAGGTAAATCGGGTGTCTAACTGGTCCCAGTGTGAGTCAGCGTGGGTGCTTGTGAGTTTGCCTTGCGATGGGATGTCGAACTCCAGGGTTGCTTCCCACCTGGCACTCAGAGCTGCAGGGAGAGGCTCTGGCCACCTGCACCCTGAACTGGAATAAGCGGGTAGTTATCTGACTTGCTTTCATTAATTTTTCTTTTTTTTTTCTTTTTTTTTTTTTTTTTTTTTTTGAGATGGAGTCTTGCTCTGTCACCCAGGCTGGAGAGCAGTGGCGCAATCTCAGCTCACTGCAACTGCCGCATCCCGGGTTCCAACGATTCTCCTGCCTCAGGCTCCCGAGTAGCTGGGATTAGAGGTGCTGCCACTACGCCCAGCTAATTTTTGTATTTTTAGTAGAGACAGGGTTTCACCATGTTGGCCAGGCTGGTCTCGAACTCCTGACCCTGTGATCCACCCACCTCGGCCTCCCAAAGTGCTGGGATTACAGGCGTGAGCCACCACACCTGGCCGGCTAATTTTTCTTAAGTATATGTACGGTCCACTTTCATATTTCAATGTGTAATATTAAAAGTGTTTGGAGTCTTTATTTAGAAGTTTGGTGATGTTTCTGTGACCAGAAATATGTCATAGGAACTTGACTCTTGTTTATATCAATTAGCCTATGGTAAAATTGGTTTTGTTAATAACAGATGTTGGCAAGATTTTGGAAAAAAGGGACTGCTTATCCACTGGTGGTGGGAATGTAAACTAGTTCAGCCACTGTGAAAAACAGTTTGGGGATTTCTCAAAGAAGAGAAAACAGAATTTCCATTCAACCCAGCAATCCCATTACTGGTTATATACCCAAAGGAATATAAGTCATTCCACCAAAAAGACACATGCACTCATATATTCATTGCCGCACTATACAGAATAGCAAAGACATAAAATCAAACTAGGTGCCCACCTACAGTCGACTGGATAAAAGAAAAATGTGGTACATATACATCATGGAATACTATACAGCCGTAAATTACAATGAAGTCATGTCCGTTGCAGCAACATGGATACACCTGGAGGCCATTATCCTAAGCAAACTAACGCAGGAACAGAAAATCAAATACTCCATGTTCTCACTTATAAGTGGGAGCTGAATGTTGAGTACACATGGACATAAAGATAGGAACAACAGACACCTGGCCATACTTGAGGGTGGAGGGTGGGAGGAGTGTGAAGGTGGAAAAACTATACTATTGGGTACTATGCTCACTATCTGGGTGACAAAATCACTTATATACCAAACCCCAGCAACACACAATTTACTCATGTATCAAACCCGCTCATGTACCCTCCTGAACCTAAAATAAAAGTTGAAAAAAAAGATTTTATTATATGTCATCTTACTTAAAGTCACAGTTTCCAGAGCCTATCACTGACGTTAAGTGCGGACTTACTGTACATAGATATTTACTTCCTTTTTTTCCCTGAATTAGGCACCAGCCCCAATTTTTTTAAAAAACACCTTTAAGTAGTAGTACTCACAATGGCCAAAAAGTGGAAGCAACGCTATTCATCAGCAGGTGAATGGATAAAAAAATGTGGTATATACATACAACAGAATATTATTCAGCCTTAAACTGGAAAAAAATTGTGACACATGCTGCAACATAGATGAACCTTGAGGAAATTATGCTAAGTGAACTAAGCCAGTCACAAAAAGACAATACTGTGCAATTCCATTTATATGAGGTTTCTGAAGTAGTCAGATTCAGAGAGACAGAAAACAGAATGGTGGCTGCCAATGAAACAGAAGAGTTCCCCGTTCCCCCTCACAGGACATGCAACAGGGGTGTGGCTTAGCTGTTCAGTCACTGCCGCTGCTCAAACCCCTGAAGGGAGGGGAAGCACATAGATAGACAGGTGCAGGAGCCCAAGTGGGCATGAGTTACAGTGTGCCCTTTTAGCCCTGCCGTCTGTGGACAGCTTGAGTGTTAACCAGCTCAATGGACTCTCTGCCTTTTTGCAAGGGCAGAGGGCCAGTGTGACAGCTTTCTGTATCTCAAGCTCTTGCCCAGCGTCCCTGGAACACAGGCTTGAGGGATGAATGCGGGGTTTTATTGAGCAGTGGAGGTGGCTCTTAGAGGGATGGGTGGGGAGCTAGAAAGGGGATGAAGTGGGAAGATGATCTTTCCCTGGATTATGGCCATCCAGCAGCTGAACTCCCCTCTGACCACCCTTAGCCAAACTCCTCTCGGTATTCCGACATTCCTCCTCTTCTCTCTTTCTCTGCTGCGTTGTTCTGCCATTCATCTGCTTGTCTCTTATTTCACTGCCTCCTCACCTGCTCGTCTGCTTCTGAAGCGTGGGGCTCAGGGTTTATATGGATATAGGATGGGGGGCACGGCAGGCCAAAAGACAACTTTTTGGGCACAAAAACAGAAATGCCTGTTCCCACTTAGGGCCACAGGTCTCCAGGCTTAAGGGTGGGGCCTTTGGCAGGGAACCACCCTCTTCTCCTTAGTATTTCCTTGTCTCCTGTCCATATCACTAGGGGCTGAAGGGCAGGAGGAAATGGGGAGTTGTTCAATGGGTGTAGAGATTCAGTTTTGCAAGAAGAAAAGACTTCTGGGGATTAGCTGTGCAACAATATGAATATACTTAACACTACTGCACTGTACACTTAACAATGGTTAAGATGCTAGGTTTGGTTTTGTTTACCACAATTAAAATTTTTAATATTTTTATCTTATTTCTAGGGGACTATTTCATTCTTTTGTTACTCATCAAAGTCAAGGGCTGAATGTAGGCTACCAGCCCACAATAAAGGATCACAACTTCTTAAATTTTAATATTTGTTTATTATACAAATATTTATGTTAGAGAAAAACTAGAAAACAAAGACAAGCCAAAAATAAATATAGGCTGGACACAGTGGCTCATGCCTGTAATCTCAGCACTTTGGGAGGCCGAGATGGGTGGATTGCCTGAGATCAGGAGTTTGAGACCAGCCTGGCCAACATGGTGATGCCCCATCTCTACTAAAAATACAAAAATTAGCCAGGCGTGGTGGCACATGCCTGTAGTCCCAGCTACTTGAGAGACTGAGGCAGGAGAATCGCTTGAACCCAGCAGGCGGAGGTTGCAGTGAGTCGAGATCACCCCACTGCACTCCAGCCTGGGCAACAGAGCAAGACTCCATCTGAAAAAAAAAAAAAAAGAAAGAAAAAAGAAATATAATTGTTTTTAAAACAACCATCATCCCTCCACCCAGAAATAACCCCGGGTAACATTCTGGTGGGTCCATCCAGATTTCTTTATTTTTGCAAGCATAAAATTTGTTTGTTGCATATTTTCAGCAGCAATGTTAAAGATATCCAACACTTAAAGAGTGATATCAAGAACTGCAGGACTGGCCAGGTACAGTGGCTCATGCCTGTAATGCCAGCACTTTGGGAGGCCAAGGCAGGCAGATCACTTGAGCTCAGGAGTTTGAGAACAGCCTGGCCAACATGGTGAAACCCTATCTCTACTAAAAGTACAAAATTAGCTGGGCATTGTGGTGGGCACCTGTAATCCCAGCTACTCGGGAGGCTGAGGTGGGAGAATCACTTGAACCCAGGAGGCAGAGGTTGCAGTGAGCTGAGATGGCACCACTGCACTCCAGCCTGGGCAACAAAGCGAGATTCTGTCTCAACAACAACAACAAGAACAACAACCAAAAAAAAAAAAAGAATTGCAGGACTGTAGAATTTTAGCCCTAGAAAGGAGCTTAGAGACTGACCAACAGAGTTACCTCATTTTACAAAGAAATAGGAAACAAAAGCTAAAAGAGCGTATGTTTTAGGTAATAAGAAAACCAGGCCTTGAGCATCAAACAAATCAGAAGAGAGAATGCTGAAGGTCAAATCAAACAGAATGATGTTGGGATCACTTGTGTCCCAGTATGGTCTATGGTTAAGAGGGCAGGCTCTTAGCCAGGATGCCTGGGTGTGAATCAAGGCTCTGCTGTGCACTTATTGGCTACTTGACCTCAATCTAGTTACCCAACTTTTTAAGCTTCATCTGTATTATTGCCTATTTATAGATTAAACCAGGATTAAAATTTACAGATTTATAGATTAAATCAGAATTAAAATTAAATCAGTCAGAATTAAAGGAAATAATTCAAGTAAACCACAGAAGAAGCACTTATCGTTGATTACAATTACCACCGTTACAGTGAAAGAGATCCAAGTTTCCCCGAGTTACTGGCAGCATATCTGTATGGGTCCAAAATTCAACCGAGGGGCATAAAGCAGAAAAGAGACCAAGCCAAGTTTCAGAGAAGGAGTGGAAGTTTATTTAAAAGCCTTTAGAACAGGAAAGAAAGGAAAATTAGCTTGAAAGAGACCCAAGCAGGCACTGAAGGTCCAAGAGAGAAATGAGAGCAAAAGAAGACAGCAAAAGGGGCCTTTGACCTTGATCTTTATAGGTTCGCCTTTATAGGGGACTATATAGGCTCGCCTCTCTCCCAGGATTCTTCCCTTAGGGTGGGCTTTCCGCATGCCCATGCTTTCCTTACTCTTTGGAATTGAGCACACACAGTGAGTTTAGGGAGTTGTACACATGCCCATCTGAGGCTTTCTTCCTTTTCCAGTGGAGGGTGCCCCCAGAAGATCATATTTCACCATTTTTGTCTCTTAACACGCATGCCCAGGAAGTTGCTTCTCCCTGGGGCCTGCATTCAATTAGCATTTTGATGTTAACAGGTGTGAACCATCAGGAAATGGCCTCTCCCTGGCGCTGCCAAATTATAAGTTTTAGAGAAGCGATGCAATAATTGCCAAACCATCACCCGACATTTCTAGTGGGTGGAGGGAGAGCCCTCTCCTGCCCCACTCATGCCTAACTACCTGTAGCACTGTTACTAATACATCATCTTCATAACAAAGGAGAATAAAGAGTGAAACCTGTTCACAACATTTTCTGTGCTTGCCCTGGACTTTGAACTGCTCATCCAAGGTTCTCTGAATGTTTGGAAGTAGTTTAGCCTAGTGGTGAAATTCCTAAATTGTCGCCTTTCTCTACTTCATTTCTATCAGTGGGTCATTCCTTCACTACTAGAACATTTGACCTGCACAGCACAGGTAAACATAAGACTTAGAATCCCTAGGCAAGGCCATACCTGGTGGGGAGGATTCCGGTCCTGACAGCATAGGCATGAGAGTTGTCTGAAGCAGACACCATATAGGGCATGTTGAAGGGCTCGCACTGACTGCACTCACAGGGGGCCTCTGGATCCAGGCCATCTCTAAGCCTGGAAAGAAACAGAGCCGGTGAAGATGCTTTATTTCACTCTGCACACCAGACCACCATGATCAGGTTTTGAGAGGAGGATTTTTAATGGCATGCTGTATGGAAAACCACTGGTTATAGAGTGTTATCCAAATATCAGTACTATCCTCATTCCGTAAATGTAGGGGTCCCATTAATTTACTCTCAAAGGGATATATTTCCAGGTGTGGTGAGGAGGCCAGCCAAGGCTACATTTCCTAATTCCTGATACCTCTCCTCCCAGTCTCGCTCTAGTTTCCACCATTTGTTAAAAGTTTACTGGCTGACAGGATTTTTCTAATTTCTAATTTTCAGAAAAGCAAAATTTCCTTACAACATGTGATCTCTAGAGAGCAAATGCTCCAACTGTGCTCCTTACAGCTTATCTTTGGAATTACCAACATAAGAACATGATTTTCCCTAGAGATTTTAATGCTGACTCCAGAGACTCCATCTAGCTCATCTTTGAAATCACAGTGTGAAGCATAGGGCCACAGTCAATGTTCATTCGGCCAAGACTACATGCTTGGCACTGAGCTAGTCTGTGATTTCAAAATTAACACACAAATGACCAAACATATAACTCAAAATTAATATAACCCACTCTTTGGGCCTCCAGGTATGACTACAGATCCGATGCAAATCATTTGTGAGTATTTCTGATGCATTAAAAATCATTTTTTAAAGATGCTCAATAATACAACATTAGGGGAAAGCTGGGGAAATTTGAATAAGGTCTGCAATTTAGTTACAAGCATTGTACGAATGTTAATTTCCTGGTTTCATGTCCTGGTTAATTTCCTGTCAATGTTAATTTCCTGATTATGTAAGATGTTAACAGGGGTAGCAGGGTGAAGGGTATAAAGGAACTCCATTTAATTTTTGCAACTTTTCTTTAAGTCTAAAATTATTTCAAAATAAAAGGTCCAAAAATTCTTTTAAAAAGGATGCTCAGCTTTCAGGTGGCCCAGTGGCCTAGGGCGGCGGGCTACATCAGTCAGACACAGAGATGTGGAACCCTGCCCTTGTAGCTCCTCTCCACGCAGGATCTGCAGGCTTCCTCTTCTGCACTGTGTTCATTGAATGTTTGCCTCCCAGACTGACGGGGAGCTCAAAGGGACCCAAATTCTCAAAGAGAAGTTTTCTGGAGCTACAGCTATCCAAGTCACTGACATTTCAGGAGGCTGTAGGTGATGTATAAAATCCAAATCAAACCAGAAGAATTTAAAGAAACAAGAACTGTCCCTCAGCACCAGATGATTAATCAGGCACTAAAAAAGGAAAATCAAAGGGATGCACAGATGGTGGGTATTTACCTCTGTCCCCAGACACTGACCTCCATGCCCCCGGGGCTGTGTAGATGCAGCTGCCTAAAACTTCGGATGAACTTGACTGGAACCACTCTTTCCTACGCATTTGCAAAAAAAAAAAAAAAAAAAAAGTATCTGTTTTGTTCGTAGACATTTCCATACTACAATTAAAGAAGAATGTGTTATCTATTTAGAGGTTAATTAAAGGCAACAGACAACTGGTGGAGGAGAGAGGTGGGAAAAGATGTTCAACTCAAAAAACAGATGGAGATCTGAGCATAGGTGTCTGAAATGACTAAGGAAATGTAAAACTGGGACAAATCTCATTGGTGCTAGAAATTAAGGAAAGGTACCATCCATGAGCCAAAAAATTATTCTAGAGATAATGATATTGGTAGCCAAAATGAAGAAAGGGGACAAAAGCCAATGTCCAACTGACGTCTCATAGAAAATTAGTGTGTCTGGTGGGAAGGACTTAGAGGAGAACCTGAATCCCCTCAACATCCACTCTCTCGGAGGAACTTTAGAGCAGTGGATCTAAGGGCCTAAGAAGGTAGGAGGGCTGGGGGCCCAGGGCATAAGCTTCAAACCAGAGCAGCAGCAGTGGAAGCAGGAGGCACATCTTCCCAGTGCAGCAAGGCTCAGCCCCGAGACAGCAACAGCAATGTCCAGAAGAGGCTGGGCAGGACACAGGGCATTTCCTTCCCTGAAAAAGCTGGCAGGAGCGTGAGGAAAAAGCCCGGCGGCAGCAAGTCTGACTCCCAGCACAGTCATTTCCTCAAACGAAGACGGTTGTGCCATATGTCCCACCAGGCCTGACCAAGGCTTAACAGCCTACACATTTCTCTCAGGCTGTGCCATCGCTGAGCAAGGAACCAGCCTCCAGCTCCAGTTAGGAGGGAGATCCTAAAAGCATCTAGAAGTGAGAATACCCAAGAAATATCCTTACAACACCATCTTGGATAGAATCTCATAGATCAAGTTTGAATAAAAACAAACAATAGCCGGGCACGGTGGCTCACACCTGTAATCCCAGCACTCTGGGAGGCTGAGGCGGGTGGATCACCTGAGGTCGGGAGTTCAAGACCAGCTTGACCAACATGGAGAAACCCCGTCTCTACTAAAAATACAAAAACTGGCCGGGCGCGGTGGCTCAAGCCTGTAATCCCAGCACTTTGGGAGGCAGAGGCGGGTGGATCACAAGGTCAGGAGATCGAGACCATCCTGGCTAACATGGTGAAACCCCGTCTCTACTAAAAATACAAAAAATTAGCCGGGCGTGGTGGCGGGCGCCTGTAGTCCCAGCTACTCGGGAGGCTGAGGCAGGAGAATGGCGTGAACCTGGGAGGCGGAGCTTGCAGTGAGCCGAGATTGCGCCACTGCACTCCAGCCTGGGCGACAGAGCGAGACTACGTCTCAAAAAAAAAAAAAAAAAAAAAATACAAAAACTTGGCCAGGCCTGGTGGTGCACATAATCCCAGCTATAATCCCAGCTACTCCAGAGGCTGAGGTAGGAGAATTGCTTGAACCCGGGAGGCGGAGGTTGCGGTGAGCAGAGATCGTGCCATTGCACTCCAGCCCAGGCAACAAGGACAAAACTCCGTCTCAAAAAAGAAACAATAGTAACTATATAGTGGGATCTGTTTTTTTTTTAATGTAAAACATAGAAATCCAGAAGCAATACATTAGCATAACATTACATAATATAAATTTGTGTTTCCTCCTTTTCTTTTCATCTTTTTTTTTTTTTTTTAAGACAGGGGCTCACTACATTGTCTAGGCTGGTCTTGAACTCCTGAACTCTAGCAATCCTCCCTCCTCAGCCTCTCAAAGTGCCGGGATTACAGGTATGAGCTACCACGCCCTGCCCAACCTGTTTCCTTCTTATCTTTTTCTCTCTCAAGCAGTAACAGGCTCTGTGCTTCCTTCCTTGTGGAGGTTTACGGCAGGGCAGAAAGCAGAAGCTGCTGCAATGCTTCCCTTCCTGATTGTTGGCTCCAAAACCTAAAGCGGTTGGAGATTTGCCAAATGTCCTGAGGGAGAAAAGAGTCTCTGAGGGAATAAGAAGGAACATGAGTATATTCCCTAAAACCAAGAAAAGATTCCCAGAAGCCTACAAGTAGATAAGACCACAGCCCTCTCACTGGCGAAGCCTGGAGATGTAAGCCCTCCAAGAGGAATCGCTGAGAGGTTCCCAGTTATGCCAAAATGCTGCACACGCCATGCCTGGCACAGAAACAGCAGACCTAGGACCGGAAGGTGCGGTGCAAGACGGCTCAGTAATAATCAGAACAGACTGAGAACCAATGCCTGGGGCTTCCACCCCAATGTCCTAAAGATGTGTGAGACCTCCTTTTTACCAACCTGGAATGAGAAAGTCCATTAAAAAAATTAAGTGAATTCCCACCAATCTAACAAGATGGGGTCCAGAGTCAAAATTCAGGCAAGGAACAGAGAGTTTTAAGTGTGATATTGCATGCATACCTGAGTATTCACTGTACATATGTTTCGCATATTCACTAAGTTTTTTTTAAAAAGTGAATTCAATAAAATATTAGTGCCTAAACAACTTGCCTACTTTCCTCTCTGTCGCTTTTTTCAAATTTGTGAAAGATGAAGCCTCTTGAGTTCAAATGTACATCCCTGGTCCCATCAGCCAAAGCCAGTGCAGGAGAGAGATGCCTCTGGTGTGCTGGGCTTGCCCCTCCAGGGTCCTCTTAAGGGCTGTGAGCAGGGCAGGCCCATATGGACATGTCTGGGACAAGGTGTTAAGGCAGCCGCCTGAGTCGGAAAAGAGTCTGGCTAAGAGCCAGACAGCCTAAAATGAGAGCAGGAAGAATGTTGTGATACCAGATATGTGATGACAAAAGCTTACAGAAAACTGGAAGAAATGCAGAGTAGAATCAAAACGGCAAAAAATTAAATCAATAATGTTTGGACAAATTTGAGATGCTTTCCCAGAAAGCTAAAGAAATAGAACAGAGATAAAATTATGAGAAAGAAAATAGATACCGAAAACAGACTGACGATCTAACATATGAAGAACGTATGTGCCTAAAGACCAAAACAAATAGAAAAGACAGAACAATCATATAAAGAAAGAGAAAAAAACCTGCCTGAACTAAAAAAGAAAGAATTACATCCTTAGATGAAAAAGACTCATTAGGAGCCAGGTGGAATTAAATGGCAAAAGACCAGCTTCCAGACATACCAAGATGCAAATAATGAACTCTAAGGTAAGAAATTAATCCTGGAAGCATCAAAGCAGCAAAAACAAAATTACCTACAAAGAAGAAAAGTCAGGCTAACCTTTGCCCACAACACAAAAGCTAGAATTTTAAGAGGGAAAGATATAATCCAACAGTTCCCCACCAGTTAAGCTGTGTTTCCCATGAAAAGCAACTTGTGCATGCTCAGACGTGCAAGGCCTTGGGGTTCACCACCACGCAACCTTCCAGGGAAACTCCTGACAGGCCTCGCTCCAGCCACAGATGGAAACCAGAGCATGGATGTTATGGAATAAAAAGACCGCAGTGAGCACTACAATCCTGTAAATGTAACCGTAAGTTCAAATTATTACAGATATTGCTATTTTAAAAGTCACTCTTTTTTTTCTGAGACAGGGTATCGCTCTGTCACCCAGGGCTGTAGTGCAGTGGCACGATCATGGCTCACTGCAGCCTTGACCTCCTGGGCTCAAGCCATCCTCCCACCTCAGTCTCCCAAATAGCTGGGACTAGAGTTGTGTGCCACCACACCTGGCTAATTTTGTATTTTTTGTAGATACGGGGTTTCACCATGTTGCCCAGGCTGGTCTCAAATTCCTGAGCTCAAGGGATTCACCCACCTCAGCCTCCCAAAGTGCTGGGATTGCAGGCATGAGCCACTGCACCCAGCCAAAAGTCACAAGAGAAGATACAGAGCATAAAAGAAATAGACATACACACAGATTAAATTCTGAATAATCTAGTAAGTCTTCTCCTAGGGCTGGCGACTGTCATGAACACCAGCCCTCTCACTGGGACTACTTTCAGGAAGTAGGCGCTAGGGCTAGGTGAACATGTTTTAGAGTAATTCCATTAAGATATAATAATAGTGAATTTGTGGAAAATTTACATTTATTAAGAGGGTAGGGACAGAGGATCTATACTTTAGAAGATGCCTACTGTCTGAAAAGATAGAGCCAACAGAGGCACTCCACATGTTCTACTGTGTGGAATGGCCCTTTCCTTAGACAGCTTGGGCTGGTGTAACAAAATGCCATAAACTGGGTGGCGCAAACAACACATGTATTTCTCATAGTTCTGGGGGCTGGGAAGTCTAAGATCAAGGTACCAGCAGATTCCATTGTTGGTGAGAGCTCTCTTCCCGGCTCGTAGACAGCCGCCTTCTCAGTGTGTGCTCACCTGGCCTTTCCTTGGTATGGAAAGAAACAGAACTCTGTCTTCCTCTTTTTATTTATTTATTTATTTATTTATTTTTGAAATGGAGTCTTGCTCTGTCACCCACGCTGGAGTGCAGTGGCACCATCTCGGCTCACTGCAACCTCTGCCTCCCGGGTTCAAGCACTTCTCCCTGCCTCAGACTCCTGAGTAGCTGGGATTACAGGCGCCCACCACCACACCCAGCTAATTTTTGTATTTTAATAGAGACAGGGTTTTACCATGTTGGCCAGGCTGCTCTCGAACTCCTGACCTCAGGTGATCTGCCCTCCTCGGCCTCCCAAAGTGCTGGGATTACAGGTGTGAGCCACCACACCAGCCTGCCTTCCTCTTTTTATAAGGACATTAATTGCATCATGAAGATCCCCCCCTCATGACCTAATCTAAACCTAATCACCTCCCAAAGGCCCCGCCTCCAAATACCATCACACTGGGGGTTAGGGCTTCAACACAGAAATGTTGCGGGGACACATTCAGCCCATAGCAGCCCTCCTCCTTCCCATCAGAGGGCAGCCTGCAGTGCTGCATCAGTGGGACCTGCTGCCCACACCACTGTCCTCTGCAGTCCCCCACAACGTGGACCAGCACAGCTTTGATGGAGCCTACACGGGACAACTTCCTGGCGGCTCAGGTCCAGACACCAGACAGCTCTAGCTCCTGCGCCCCCTCCCTCCTGGCCTCACACAGCCCTGAGCCCGGTCTGTCAACTTTGAGTCAAATGTCAGGTAGCGTTTCAGGCCCAGGGGAAGTGACCCTGAGAAGATGGAGGCTGACCGCCCAGATCCCTCCTGGGAGGAAGGGAAGCGGAATGGGCTGGGGAGGGGTGGGAGGGCTGGCAGGTCATTCCTAGGTGTGCTCCATTTCCCTGCAGGAAGAGAAAAATCCCACTCAGGCAGCTGCACACGTGGCACACTCACCTGTGAGCAGCCTCAATTGCCTCCAAGCTTAGAGCTGGGGGAGCTAATGGAGGAAAAGGAGAAGAAGGAAGTTAGGCTGAATGGGTTCCCCCATGAATGGGTTTCTCAAAGTGGGAGGGGAGGTGAAGAAGAGGGGAGGGCAGAGCAAGGGGCTGAGGACAGTGGGTGATGCACATAGCCTACAAGTGTGTGCCCATTTCTGCATACAGTATGCGCCAAATATGTTTACATTCAATCCATTTTGTACACTGACTGGATGAGTTTGGTTTACATTATAATTTGGGGTTATCCGTGGCCATATAGTTATCTCACCATATTACTTATTGAATTGTGTTTAGGTTTCAGGGGGCAAAACTGCCAATGATTATTTCATTTTTTAATCTATTATAGAAGAGATCAGGTGTATGTTTTTATATAAATGTTAATTACAATTCGCCTTTAAGGATGGTCTCAGAAGTTTTCTGTGAATCATTTACATCACCGAACATACAGGCTATTCATTATTCCCCTTCATAAAAACTACTATTAAAATAGCATAATGCCAGCCTCGGCAACATGGCAAAATGCTGTCTCTATTAAAAAAAAAAAAAAAAAAAAAAAAACACGATTTAGCCAGGCATGGTGATGTGTGCCTGTAGTCCCAGATGCTCAGGAGGCTGAGGTGGGACAATCACGTAAGCCCAGGAGCTCAAGGATGCAGTGAATTTTGATTGCACCACTGCACTCCAGCCTGGGGGACAGAGTAAAACTCTGTCTTAAAAATAATAATAATAATATAATGTGTCTAAAGAGTATTTCACAAATGTTAGAGACAGTAAACTAAAAAAAGATCTACCGTGTGCTACAAGATAGGAACTAACAGGATTTTTAGTGCTAGAAAAATTCTTATCTTCTCCTTGGGTGTCAGATGCTGGAGAACAGTTAGTTCAATCAAAGCAAATGCATTTGTCTTAGACACTTTTTTTGAACCTTCAAAATCTAGCTAACAAGCACTTTACTGATAAGCTGGCTTCTATTTTTAAAGGGGAAAATTGTATTTTGCTTTTCCAATTTTCTTTCTTCTTAAAGAATTTAGGTGATTTTCTTCCACACCCCAGTTGACATAATTTGAGAATAACACAACTCCAGGGTACAGGTAATTTCCATGCTCTGTAATCCATTCCAGAGCATTAAACTAGGGAACAATTTCCTTCGTTTAATAAAATTCACATATCCCTGAATAGAAAAAAACAAAAAATAAGAAATCAAGCCTGTTACAAATATAGAATAAGTTTTATAATCAAGACAGGAATAACCAATATTACAGCTATTATTTAACATTGCTCTGAATATTTTAACAAATAGGGGTGGGGAGAAGGCAATAAAAATAAATAAGTAAATCTATCAGAAAGGGGTAAGAATTACCGAATGACAATCCACGTACAAACTTCAGTAAATCAACTGCCAAACTATCAGAACTCATCAAAACATTTGCTAAGGAGCTGGTTATACAATAAACTACCCAAATCACTAACTTTGCTATATATGAACAATAAATCAAATATGATGAATATTATGAAAAATATACATCCCACCACTTTAATAGCAACATGATCTGTTTATATATAAAGAATAACCATTAACAAGAAATGTGGAGGGTATAGATTGAAAGAAAACTACAAAACTGTGCTGTAAGACATAAAGATTTGAACCAAATAGTTTCCAGCGAAGTGCAAGGGTTGTACAACTGAAGTTCCCCAGGCCCACGGAGACCCCATTCAAGGCCAAAGGCAGTGACGACGTAATGCCAAACATAGAGAGCTGGGCTTTCTGCAGGATCCCAGTGATCAGCCACTGGACGAAGGGAGGACACTATGCTGAAAAGCTCACCTGGTCCATTTGTTGTCATGTTTTCATGGTAATGAGACTTCACACAAAAGAATATAAACGAGTGGAGCTGTGCTATCTTCATAGATTTCAGGTTGCCTGGGGTAAGAGTATTTGCCTCTGTGTTATACTGTAACTGAAGGTAATGCTTGCAGCTATAAAGATGAACCCCATTTTCTCAATAGTAGAACAAAATGAAAATTACTTTCTCACTTAACTAAAAGTCTAATCATTGCCTCTTTGTGCACATTAAAATTTAAAAAAAAAAGTCTGATTAGCCTTGGATAGACACGAAGGTCAGGAACCAGGCTGATGGAGCCCTGCTGTCTTCAATACAGGTTTTTCAGGGTGCCCTGAACTTTGACATCCCACCAACAGATGGGGAAAGAGGAAGAAGGATGTCGTTCATGGACCAGATCTGAATGAGATGCCTTCCCTTCTGCTCACATTCCTCTGAATGCACTCAGTCTCAAGGCCAAACTATCCGCAAGTGGGGAGCCTGGGAAGTGGATCCACGCTGCTTCCACATCCCTCAAGGAAAGAATGGTCAACCGGGTCTACTCAATAGGTGAAGAAGGAACTACCCAATTATCTTTTTCATGTAACTGGAGCTTGCCCTTTACACATTTGATTTTACATATTTTGATGAAACTTTTCCTAAGATGCATAACAATTTCCCTGTTTCAACACAGTGGGCAATTGTAAGTCTTCTCCTAGGGCTGGCGACTGTCGTGAACACCAGCCTTCTCACTGGGACTACCTTCAGGAACTCTTGAGGATTTGCTGATCCTCCGCCTCTATACTAAAAGATCCTTGGTTACTGTCTTTTTAAAACTCTTTTGAAATGTTTTTTTCTGAATCCTTCCTCAGAGTCAGATGGCATCTGTCACTTCTTCCTGCGTCCACAAGCATACTTCTAACAGTTCCTTTCCCTCTAATGTCTTGCTTCTACTAAGGGTTTATGCTAAGGTGTACAAATTGCATCTAAAGTTAAAAAAAAAAAAAAGCAGGGGGGCCAGTCATAGTGGCTGTAATCCCAGCACTTTGGGAGGCTGAGGCAGGAGGATCACTTGAGCCCAGGAGTTCAAGACCAGCCTGGGCAACATGGCAAAACGCTGTCTCTACCAAAAATACAAAAATTAGCCAGGCATGGCAGCATGCTCCTGTGGTCTCAGCTACTCAGGAGGCTGAGGCAGGAGGATTGCTTAAACCCAGGAGGTCGAGGCTGCAGTGAGCCATAATCTCACCAGTGCACTCCAGCTTGGGAGACAGAATGAGACCTCGTCTCTAAAAAAAAATAAAATAAATTTAAATTTTAAAACAAAATTGCCTCAGACTGAAATCCATTCCTGAGTAAAGAGTATGAGCTTTTATTACCTGGACTTTCTAGCGTTGATTTTGGTTATCTAATATCCTTTTTAAAATTTTTTCTTCCAAGTTTTTGTTTCAGCAGTTGCAAATAAACAATTATATTGGCTGGGTACAGTGGCTCTCACCTGTAATCTTAGCACTTTGGGAGGCCAAGGAAGGCAGATTGCTTGAGCTCAGGAGTTCAAGACCAACCTGGGCAACATGGTGAAACAAAAAAATACAAAACTTAGCTGGGCATGGTGACATGTGCCTGTAGTCCCAGCTACTCTGCACTCCAGCCTGGGCGACACAGTGAGACCTTGTCTCAAAAAAATAAAATAATTACGTTGGCTTATGATATAATCCTAGAAAGCAGAACAAAATTATACCTAAAAGAGAATGGCCTTTCCAATACAGTACTGACTAACAAGGAAAGAGGGCTACAATATATTGTTATGTAGGAAAGAGCCAGCTGCAAAATGACATTATAGTGGAATTCCATTTGTTAAATTTTTTTTAAAAAGCATACATTTGCAATGTGAGTAGTTATCTCTGAGATGTAGGATTACTGAGAACTTTTACATACTATGCCATTTATTTATGTATTGTTTGGCTGTTTTATAAGAAGCAGGTATTTTACGTAAGCATAAAAAAACAAGAAGAAGCTGGGTGTGGTGGTGTGTGTGTCTCTAGTCCCAGGTACCTGGAAGGCTGAGGTAGAAGGATCACGTGAGCCCAGAAGTTCAAGGTCAGCCTGGAAAATACGTGGGACCCTGTCTCCATAAATCAATAAATTAAAATATTTTAAAACACAGTTCACAGTGTCTTCTCAGAGCATGAGCTCCTGGAAGACATGGATGACAGATGAGCACTCCTCTATATACTGCCTGCTGCCACAAATAAGAAGCCTCTCAAAATTAAAACACTGATTTTTATAGACCAAAAAATAAAAGAAAAGAAAAAACTAGAGGATAAACTCAAAGTTGATCTCAGACAGAGCAAGTTCCAGGAAAGTGTTGCTGGCTTCCACCTTGGAGGACTTCTACCTGGAAATCTGCTCGGTACCATATTAAGCAGTTTCAAGAGCCCATCAAAGCCCTGGCAAGTTCATAGTAACCAGAGGCACATTCTAACCTATACCAGAACTATGGTGAAAATGTACTTTGCTGGGAAAGGATTCTGAGTTACTAAGGCTTCTCAGGAACTACTCCATTCTCTAATGAAAACACTGATCATCTAATGTGGGCAATTAACATGTATTTAGTAGGTTTTTGCCTCCTGTTGCATACTGAGGAGATCCCACAAGACACCTTCTGCCCAGCATTTTCTTGCTACCATGAATGAATCTATAAAATATTCACATGAATACAAACATGAACTCCAGAATACCCCAGTTTAAATGAAAATGCATTCACTGGTAAAAGTAATGTATTCATTAAATAGTGCCACAAAACTGCTGCTTAACAGATTCTTCTGAAACTGAAGGTCATGCAACAAGAAGCATTTATTCTCGTGTTCATAAGTCTGCAGGTCTGCTGGGACAGCTCAGCCTCAGGCTGTGGGTGTGCGAGTCAGTTGGGGCAGCCCTGCTCCATATGCCACACTTTCTATTGGGAACAGCAGAAAACCAAGAAATGTTCATGGCAATGCAGAAGCACAAGAGGGCAAGCCAAAACCCACAAGCATATTTTAAGCCTTTGCCAACATCATGTTCGCTGACATCCCATTGGCCAAAGCAAATCACATGGCCAATCCCAACATCAATAGGACAGGGAAATATAGTCCCTCCCTAGTGAGAGGAAACAAAAAGTCCCATAGCAAAAGGCAGGGACATAGGAGGGTTGAAGAATTGTGAACAAAAATACAATCTGTCAAAGGTAACATTAACTCACTGTTAACCAGTTATACGGTGACATTTCTGTTTTAATATTTAACTGGTCTTAAAAGTAAGACACTAAAGGAAGAGGACAGAAGGAAGGGGAAAAGTGAGATCTAGAAATGTGTAGCATTTTGGACATTGCCTAGGACAGAGGAAGGGCTAGGGAAGGAGCCACAGTGGCAGTCCCTGGAAAAGAACATCATAAAGCACAGCATCTTCACAATTGAAATTTGCTGACGAAAATCAGAAATGAAGAGCAAGAAGATAAGACAGCAGGAACACATAGATACATGAAAGATACAAGAAGTCCAAGAGAATGACAAGTTTTAAGAAAAATCACATACAGAAATGAAGCTGTTCCAGCATAATGTGTTTCTCCATTTGAAACTGGCATTTTTTGTATAATCATCCCTAGTCTATTACCTGTGGTTTACTATTTATAATCTGAAAGAGCTGTGAGCCACTAGAACAATTTCTCTGCAAGAATCCGCTCTACAAGAAAAAAGAAAAGTGTGTGTGTATGGGTGTGTGTGTGTGTACACACACAGAATTTTTTTTCAAATCAGGCAGATCAGAACCTCCCTGGAATTTGAACTCCAAATGTAGGGAAACAAAATTGAAAATAGTAAGAGCTCACTCATCCTTATGTTTGCCCTAAAGAGGCTGTATTAGTCCATTTTCACACTGCTGTAAAGAACTGCCCAAGATTGGATAATTTAAAAAGGAAAGAGGTTTAATTGATCATAGTTCAGCATGGTTGTGGAGGCCTCAGGAAACTTACAATCATGGTATGGTGGAAGGCAAAGGGAAAGCAAGGCACCTTCTTCACAAGCCAGCAGGAAGGAGAAGTGCCAAGTGAAGGGGGATGAGTCCCTTATAAAACCATCAGATCTCATGAGAACTCACTATCATGAGAACAGCATGGGGGAAACTGCCCCTATGATTCAATTACCTCCACCTGGTCTCTCCCTTGACACGTAGGGATTGTGGGGATTATAATTCAAGATGAGATTTGGGTGGGGACACAAAGCCTAACCATACCAGAAGCTGTCCCATGATTACTGATCCCCAGGTCCTCAGAGTTGCTCCAAATTTCTGATCCCTCCAAAGCCCCTCTCTGAATTCCCTCTCTTCCACATTTCCTTTAACTCTATGAACCATCCCTTCATCCTACCAATACATTTTCAACTTAAATAAGCCAAAATTGAATTCTGTGGCTTTCAACCACAGAACTGTATCAGGTGCAAGTCCCTTTCCCATTTTCTATTCCCCAAGGAGACAAGAAAGAGTACTAAAGATGCCTTAAAGCAAATAACAAGGCATGCCATCACTCAAGAATTTAGTATCTAAATCCACTTCATGAAAATGACTGTTACTATGGCAACTTTTCCATGTGTATTATTCAGTGACTTTATAATGTATTAACATTTTAAGGTAAACTAAACTGTATTGGCTTATTTGGCCTTGAATCCTTTTTAAATATAGATTGTTTTATCTCATAAAAGTTATCAGAGCCTCTAGTCCACGATGGCAGAGTGAGCCAGCAAATTTACTTTTCCCTCTAAAATTGCTATGAAAATGACACTATAAAGGAAAGCCCTCCATGCTTACCTCCCACCACCACCATTCTAGACACACACACACACACACACACACACACACACACACAAAACCCACTACAGTCCCAGCTCTTGGCATCAAAATCTGTTCTGATAATCCAACACGGTTAATATGGGCAATACCCCTCCCATTAATTGATAAATTAAAAATAATCAAAGGAAAATCCTAATTTTTTAAAATAGAATCTGACAAGTTGCATAGAACATTCATCTGGAAGAGTAACTATTTGAGCTAATAAAATGTTTTCTGTTTGTTTTGTTTGTTTTGAGATAGAGTCTTGCTGTGTTGCCAGGCTGGAGTTCAGTGGTGCAATCTCGGCTCACTGCAACCTCCGACTCCCGGGTTCAAGCGATTCTCCTGCCTCTGCCTCCCAAGTAGCTGGGACTATAGGCCATGCCCAGCTAATTTTTGTATTTTTAGTAGAAGCGGTGTTTCACTATGTTGGCCAGGCTGGTCTTGAACTCCTGACCTTGTGATCCACCCGCCTCAGCCTCCCAAAGTGCTGGGATTACAGATGTAAGCCACCGCACCCGGCTGAGCTAATAAAATGTTTAAGAAAAAGAACACTGTTCAGATAGGCCGTGACCATAGAGAAAGTCAAGGTAGGTCACAGTAGAATAGTCCAAAGAGCCCTGGGAGGTGGAACATAAGGAGGGATGCTCCTATTTCTCATCATTATGAGTCACATGAACTTCCTTATTATCTGCATCCAGGACAAATTCAGCCAGAATCTGGGGCAACAAATTGTTCACAAGACCATATGGGACTACTGAGCACCATGTAACTCATTCATGTGCCACATAATTCTGAGATTCACCCACTCACTACGTCAGAGAAGAGCTTCATCCTTCCTGAAGAAACCAATCAGGCAGTCAAAGAAGATGAATAAAGGAGGAAATAAAGAAAGAGGTGAATCCATATATCCTGGTGTCAGTGATGTTTTTACATCTTCAGAGAACCTAAAGAGAATTTTTAATTCCAGCAATAGAGAAAAACAGAAGATTTTGCATAATGCAGGTCCAAAAAGAAGTGTAAAAAAAAAAAAAGTTTGAACTACAAGTAGCAATCCTATTAATTCTAGAATTTCCACACAATGCAAGACCTAGAAGGCATGATACTGGGCACCAAAGAAATGGAAAGGTGATGAGTAGGAAAGGTACAGAAGAAGCTATAGTTGAGAAGATAGAGAATGAAGCATGCACCTGCTTGCCTCATCTTCATGGGGGTACTGTATTAGCTTGGCTAGGTTAAACGGAAGTAGGAAAGACAAAAGTAGGGAGGAAGAGGAGAAGAAAAGGAAGGGAGAATAAAGAATTTCTACAAGGCAGGCGTGTTGGCTCATGCCTGTACTCCCAGCTACTCAGAGGCTGAGGCAGGAAGATTGAGCCTAGGAGTTCAAGACAAGTCTGGGCAACATAGTGAGATCCTATACCTAAAGTTAAAAAAAATAATTTCTAGAAAATTATAGTAATAAAAATTGTGATATGAGTTGAGTAATTGCTCAATGGAACCAGAACAGGGAGTCCATAACAGACTCATATGTATTGGAATTTAACTTACCATAAACATGGCATTTCAAAGGAATGAGAAATGAAGCCTAGTTTAATAAATAAGTTGTAGCAATTAGGTAAAAATTGAAAAAAATAAAGATGCATCCCTACCTCACACTATACCATCCAAAAAAAAAATGCCAGATATGATAAAGACTTCAAGTCAAAAGACAAAAGTATAAAATTACCAGAAAAAAATGTAAGAACATATGGACAGGAAAGGCCTATTTAAGCAAAACACAAACATCCAGAAACAATGAAGAAAAAAAGGAAAGAATGCCTAATTTAGCTACATCAGGGTCCCCAACCCCCAGACTGCGGGTCTGTGGCCTATCAGGAACTGGGTCTCACAGAAAGAGGTGAGGCAATGGAGCATTACTGCCTGATGTCAGATAAGCAGCCACATTAGATTCTCATGAGAGTGTGAACCCTATTGTGAACTGTGCATGCGAGGGATCTAGGTTGTGTGCTCCTCATGAGAACCTAATATCTGATGATCTGAGGTGGAACAGTTTTATTCTGAAACCATCCATACCCCACCAACCATCACCACCAGTCCATGGAAAAACTGTCTTCCACAAAACTGGTTCCTGGTAGGAATAAAAAGGTTGGGGACCACAGAGTTGCATAATTGTTAAACTTTGTATAATGAGAGAAATCTTCAAATGAAGTTAAAAGATTGAAACATCTAAATCTGTAACATATTTGCAACATAAGTAATAAATAAGTCAAAAAGAAAAAGAGAGGCAACTCGATTTTTTTTCTTGTGCAAAGGAACATTGGCAGAGACTTTTCAACATCTCCAATTTTCATTTTGTCCTCCTTCCATAATAATAAAAATTTTAATTGGACATGTAGTTGCCCAAAATAAAGTGCATATTTCACAGCCTCCCATAAAGCTTAGTCACATGAGGCCATGTGGAGTCACATGGGCTTTCTGCCCACAGAAAAGTAAGGAGAGAGTCATGCGGAATTTCCAAGAACCTTCTTAACAGATAATCTGTGTGAGCCCTTGACACCCTTCATCTGTTCATTCATCCTGCTACCCAGAGGGCAGATGCTTCTGTCTTGGACCTTGAGGGCTGGAAGAAGAATGCAGTAGGATACAAGGCTGCAGAGGGGGCAACAGTAGACCAGGGAGACCAGGTATGTCAAATTGAGCGATTCGGACCAGACCCTGTAATCAGAAGTCTCACTCAATCCTGTTACACCCAATGTCTCCATTTTTTTTTTTTTTTTTTTTTTGAGACCGAGTTTCGCTCTTGTCACCCAGGCTGGAGTGCAGTGGCACAATCTCAGCTCACTGCAACCTCTGCCTCCCAGGTTCAAGAGATTCTCCTGCCTCGGCCTCCCAAGTAGCTGGGATTACAGATGCCTACAACCACACCCAGCTAATTTTTGTATTTTTAGCAGAGACAAGGCTGGGCATGGTGGATGTGGTTCATGCCTGTAATCCCAGCACTTTGGGAGGCCAAGGCAGGTGAATCACCTGAGATCAGGAGTTTGAGACCAGCCTGGCCAACATGGTGAAACCCTGTCTCTACCAATGTCCCCTTTCTATTGAAAGATTCTGTAGCTTGCCCTTTACTATCCTGAAGTGAAAATCATGGATCACGTAACCTATCTGCACTCCTAATTTTTAATAATACAATATCTTTAATATAAAGGAAAAAAAGCAAAGTAATTAAATAAAATACTATGCTCAGACACACCCATACCTACTAGAAAAGAAATCCTACTAATCTCCAAACGGCTGTCCCCATCCCCATAAACACTTCTGGAAGCAATAAAGAGCCAAGGAAAGCTTTTCAAGCAGAAAATAACTTCATATCTTAGCCCAAGTTCCCTAGAAAACAGAGCTTAAGGGTAGGATTAAGGTGCTAAAATTTTATTGGGAAGTAAAGCCTCAGAGCAGTGAAGTGAAGGAAGAATTGAAAACAAATGCAACTGCTTACTGCTTTATGACAAGCCATAAAGAGGCAAAGCCCATTTTAGCTTTACTCAAAAGCTAAAAAGTACACTGCTTGGCCACACAAGATGTCCCTGGACAGGGTATGTGGGAAAACCGTGCCCCGGACAAGTCCATGGAAGGGACTCCTTTCTCCTGCTCGTCAAAGTTGCCCCAGAGGATTTAACCCTGACTTCTTTACCCAGAAGTAGGGGAGAAGCCAAGAGTATGGTTGGTCGGCCTCAAGTGGAATTGCAGGGGCTTGCATAGAACAATAATCCAAGGGTCTGTGAAATTGATCAAGCTGAGAGAATCTACAGAGGTAGGGAAGATGTGTCTGATATACATGGTTAGATTTGCGTTTTCAAAAAAATAATCCCTAGAAGCTGTAGAGTGTGGATTTGAAGGGGGTAGAAGGTGGCAACAGCAGGGAGACAAAAAGACCAGATAAGAAGCTGGGCCAGGCATGGTGGCTCATGTGGGTAATCCCAGCACTTTGGGAGGCCACAGTGGGTGGATCACCTGAGGTCAGAAGTTCGAGACCAGCCTGGCCAACATGGTGAAACCCCTGTCTCTACTAAAAATACAAAAATTAGCTGGGCATGGTGACACACATCTGTAATCCCAGCTACTTGGGAGGCTGAGGCAGGAGAATCACTTGAACTGGGGAGGCAGATGTTGCAGTGAGCTGAGATCACACCACTGCACTCCAGCCTAGGTGACAGAGTGACTCTGTCTCAAATAATAATATTAATTAATTAATAATTCAGCAATCACTGCAGAAACTCAACCCTGTCAACTGAGCCAAATTTCTGAAAAGAAAATAAATTGTTACTTATTTTTAAATAAAAAAGAACCTTATTTACTGTTGGGAGAAAAAGCTGAGTGTCCGGAGAGAAGCTGAGGCAGGGCTTGCATGTCTGCTAGACTTGCTTGGCTCCTTGCTTCTAGCACTCCCATTATCTCAAGCCGCCATATGTTTTTCATTCACTTGATACACTGTTTCCTTTCAACCCCCACATCCTCACCACCTGTTTCTTTGTTTGAGCACCACTAAATAGTGTGGGCTCCCAAAGCTCTGGGCCTTCACAGGCTCCACACTCAGGATGGCCCCCTGGTCCGACTTTCTCTCTCAAACTGTCTTTTTCTCATTCCTTTGACTCAGCAGGACTTCGTTGCCCCCACGACCTGGTGTTGGGTCTGATCACCCCAACATTTACAGATAACAAGTAAAAAATAATCATAAGTAAACAGACAACATGCTGCTTAGAAATGGAAGAATCATGCTTAGAAATGGAAGAATTGTTCTTAGAAACACTGGAAAGGATATCATCAGGGTTTTCTAGCGCAGTCAGTAAAGTTCGGATCAGAAAACTTCTCCTACTCCACATGCCCTTATCACACTCCCACTCAGTGTGTAAATGATTGCCTGAAGTGTGGACGGTGTGTGCCTGTATATCAAAGATATGAAATAAACATCAGTAGGATCCTTATGATGCACTCAGAGAGCAGGGGTAGTGTCTTTAGCTAGAGGAGTAGCTGTAACTTTGTCTCCGTTTGTTATGTTTGAAGGCATGTAGTTTGCTCTCTGATATACCAGAATCCAATTAACTCAAATGGTTTATAGACCACACAAATACGAGGCAGTACCTGCTGTCCAATGCCTACCACGCTGCAGGTACTCAACAAATGTTAACAAAATCCATTTGTTTATTTATGCAACCAACATTTATTGAATGCCAAATATGTGCCAAACACTGTTCTAGACATTGGAGATAGAGCAAACACATTTTTAAAATTTCTCTTTTTTGTATTATAAAAGTATTAAAGATTGTGCACAAAATGAAGCAATACAGGGATATATTAAAAAAAAAAAAAACTTAATCAGCCCCGTCCATACCCCACATCTTCCAAACCTACCCCTCTGAGGTAACCAATTACTTTTGTTTTTGTTTTTTGAGACAGGCTCTGGCTGTACTGCCCAGGCTAAAGTGGAGTGGCATGAACATGGCTCACTGCAGCCTTGATCGCCTGGGTTCAAGTGATCCTCCCACTTCAACCTCCTGAGTAAGCTGGGGCTATAGGCACATGCCATCACACTCACCTAGTTTTTTAATTTTTGTAGAGACTGGGTCTATGTTGCCCAGGCTGGACTTGAACTCCTGGCCTCAAGAGTTCCTCTTGCCTCCGCCTCTCAAAGTGCTGGGATTACAAGCATAAACCATCATGCCTGGCCCAATGTATTTTTTTCTAATATTTTTAATTGACAAAAATTATATAATTTATTGTGTACAATATATTGTTTTGAAATATGTATACACTGTGGGGTAGCTAAATTGAGCTTATTAACGTATTACTTCACATACCTATTTTTTTTGAGGTAAGAACACTTAAAATCTAATCTTTTAGCAATTTTCAAGAACACAATGCATTGATATTAACTGTATTCACCATACCGTACAATAGATCTCCTGAATTTATTCCTCCTAACTGAAATTTTGTATCCTTTGACCAACATCTCCCCAACGCCCAATTCTCAGCCTGATAACCACTATTCCACTCTCTGCTTCTATGAGTTCAACTTCTTTAGAATTCACGTACAAACGAGATTATGCAGTATTTGTCTCTCTGTATCTGACTTATTTCACTTAATATAATGTCCTCTGGATTCATCCAGGGTGTCACAAATGGCAGGATTTCCTTCCTTCTTGAAGCTGGATAGTATTCATATATAGCATTTACATTTTATTAGGTATTATAAGTAATCCAGAGATGATTTAAAGTATATGGGAGGGGGCTGGGCATGATGTCTCACACCTGTAATCACTGCATTTTGGGAGGCCGAGACGGGAGGATCACTTGGGACTAGGAGTTCAAGACCAGCCTGGCCAACATGGTGAAGCCCCGTCTTTATATAAAAAAATAAAAGTATATGGGAGGATGTGTGTAGGTTATATGCAAATACTGTTATCATTTTATATCAGGGACTTGAGCATCAGCAGATTTGGGTATCCGCAGGGTGTTCTGGAATTAATCCCCTACAGATCCCAAAAGATAACTGTGCTTGGTCACTTGTTTGTCTTTTTTTGACAAATGTCTATTCAAATCCTTTGACCATTTTTTAATTGCATTATTTGTTTTCTTACAATTGAGTTGTTTCAGTTCCTTATTATTTTAGATATTAATCCCTTATCAGATGTATGGTTTGCAAATATTTTCTCCCATTCTGTAGGTTGTCTCTTAACTGTGTAGATTATTTCCTTGGCTGTGCAGAAGCTTTTTAGTTTGATACAATCCCATTTGTCTATTATTACTTTTGTTGCCTGTGCTTTTGGGTTTATATTTAAAAATTCAGGCCTGGGTACCGTGGCTCATGCCTCTAATCCTAACACTTCAGGAGGCCAAGGCAGGAGGATCTCTTGAGGCCAGGAGTTTGAGACCATCCTGGGCAACATAGCAAGGCCTCGTCTTTAAAAAAAATTAGCTGGGTATAGTGGTGCGTGCCTGTATTCCTTATTACTTGGGAAACTAAGGCAGGAGGATCCCTTGAGCCCAGGAGTATGAGGCTGCAGTACAGCTATGCTCCTGCCACTGCACTCCAGCCTGGGCAACAGAGCAAGACCCTGTCTCTGAAAATAAATAAATAAATAAATTTTTAAAAATCTTTAAATAGATTTTATGTTTCCAAGTCATTAAAGAACATGAGATGTCTTTCCATTTGTTCAGATAACATTTATAATTTTAATTGAGCTTTTATAACTTTAAATAGGTCTTATATCTTATTAATTTTACTGTCAAGGTGAAACTATTTTGATTTCTGAAATTTGCTTTAAAGTAGTACTACAGTAGGTAAGGTGGAGAGGCAGGATGAAACAAGAAGGGCAGAATATTGACGATTGTTGAAGCTGGTTATGGGTACTATTCTCTGGGTTTTTGTGGATGGTTTGGTATTTTGAAATTATACTCCCTGCTCTGTCGCCTGCCACCGCTCCCTGAGCCCGAGTGGTTCACCGTACCATGAAGACAGATGGCAGATGCCAGGAACTCGAGCCTCCAATCCCAGATGCTATGTCCAGCAAAGGCTCAGTGGTTCTGGCCTACAGTGGCAGCCCGGACACCTCTTGCATCCTCGTGTGGCTGAAGGAACAAGGCTATGACATCATTGCCTACCTGGCCAACACTGGCCAGAAGGAAGACTTCGAGGAAGCCTGGAAGAAGGCACTGAAGCTTGGGACCAAAAAGGTGTTCATTGAGGATGCCAGCAGGGAGTTTGTGGAGGAGTTCATCTGGCCGGCCATCCAGTCCAGCGCACTGTATGAGAACCGCTACCTCCTGGGCACCTCTCTGGCCAGGCCCGGCATCGCCGGCAAACAAGTGGAAATCGCCAAGCAGGAGGAGGCCAAGTATGTGTTCCACGGCACCACGGGAAAAGGAAATGATCAGGTCCGGTTTGAGCTCACCTGCTATTTGCTGGCCCCCCAGATAAAGGTCACCGCTCCCTGGAGGATGCCCGAGTTCTACAACCGGTTCAAGGGCTGCAATGACCTGATGAAATAGGCAAAGCAACATCGGGTTCCCATTCCAGTCACTCCCCAGAGCCCGTGAAGCATAGACGAGAACCTCATGCACATCAGCTATGAGGCTGGAATCCTGGAACCCCAAGAACCAAGTGCCTCCAGGTCTCTACATGAAGACCCAGGACCCAGCCAAAGCCCTCAACACCCCTGACATTCTCGAGATCAAGTTCAAAAAAGGGGTCCCCGTGAAGGTGACCAACGTCAAGGATGGCACCACCCACCAGACCTCCTTGGAGCTTTTCGTGTACCTGAATGAAGTTGCAGGCAAGCACGGCGTGGGCCGTATTGACATCGTGGAGAACCGCTTCATTGGAATGAAGTCCTGAGGTATCTGCGAGGCCCCAGCAGGGACCATCCTTCACCACACTCATTTAGACATCAAGGCCTTCACCATGTACCGAGAAGTGCGCAAAATCAAACAAGGCCTGAGCTTGAAATTTGCTGAGCTGGTGTATACCGGTTTCTGGCATAGCCCTGAGTGTGAATTTGTCCGCCACTGTAATGCCAAGTCCCAGGAATGAGTGGAAGGGAAAGTGCAGGTGTCTGTCCTCAAGGGCCAGGTGTATATCCTCGGTCGGGAGTCCCCACTGTCTCTCTACAACGAGGAGCTGGTGAGCATGAACGTGCAGGGGGATTATGAGCCGATTGATGCCACGGGTTCATCAACGTCGATTCCCTCAGGCTGAAGGAATGTCATCTCCAGAGCAAGGTCACTGCCAAACAGACCCCTGTACAATGAGGAGCTGGGGCTTCCCCAATTTGCAGATTTTTTCCCCCAAGTACAGGTGCTAATTGTGATAATTTGTCATTGTGACTTGTTTTCTCCAGCTGGCAGCATAGTGGGTCTGCCAGGCCCCAGCTTTGTTCCCTGGTCGCCCTGAACCCTGCAAACGTCGTCATCGAAGGGAAGGGTGGGGGCAGCTGCGGTGGGGAGCTATAAAATGACAATTAAAAGATTTTTTTAAATTACACTCCTAAGTATTTTAAGCTTGTATAAAACTGTAGAAAATAAAATAGTTTTCTAATTTCCTTTCAAAGTACTTACTGCTAATACGGAGAGAAGTTGGTGCTTTTTGTATATTTATCTTGCATCTGCCCACTTTTCCAAAATGACCTACAATTCAAATAGTTTATTACTAAAGTCCCTCGAGTTTTCTAGGCAAACAATGAAGTCACATAGACAAACATAAATAGTTTTATTTCGTCTTCTTCAAAGTTTATGGCAATTATTTTCTTACCTTACTTTGACAATGTAACATAATAATAGCACATGGACATCCTTTTCTAATTTCTGATTTCAATGAAATGATTTCAGAGTTTTGCTATTTAGAACAATGTTTGCTATTGGGTTTAGAGATACAGTCCTTATCCTAGATAAGTAGTTTCCTTGTATTGTTACTTAGACTTGTTTTTAATAGAAAAGTCATCACACCCTATTGGCTTAGAATTTTTATTAGGAATGGCTATTAAATTTTATAAAATGTTCCTCCAGTGTATATTGACAGGATCATATGGTTTTTCCTTTATAGTATTATCATAATTCATTACTAACGGTAATAGATGTCTTGATAGTGAACCAGCCTGTACACCTGAAATATATAGAATAGGGCATAATTAAAATACTCTATAGCAGTATATTATTATTATATAACTTGATTTTTATTAATACTTTATTTAGAATTTTTGCATCTGTATTAATAAGTGTAAGGTTACATAAATAACCTAAGTGTTTTTTCTACTCTCGACTCCCGCAGAGTCACTCAACATTTGTGACACCGGATGTGTGGGTTTTTCCCCACACACCAAGACAGTTCTGCAGATGATTCTCCAGTGGACACCAGCTAGATGGCTGCCAATTCAATTTAACTCTGACACTATCCACCTGGAGATTGCATCCCACAGGTGAGGGCTCAGTCCCACAAGACTGCCCCCACCACTGCAGATGCTGGTTGCAAGCACAGATTGTGGCCTGTGCTTCTGACCAACCAGCTCTAAGTCACGGTTTCCACAACTCCCTCCTGGGATTCAATTAATTTGCTAAAGCAGCTTACAGAACTCAGGGAAACACTTACTTACATTGACCCATTTATTATAAAGGATACAGATGAACAGCCAGCTGGAAGAGATGCATACCACAAGGCATGTGGGAAGGGAAGCAGAGATTCCATGCCCTTCTGGGGTGCCACCCTCCAGGAAACTCCATATGTTCAGCTATCCAGAAGCTCTTCTGAACCCTGTCTTTTCGTTTTTATGAAGGCTTCATACCTGATTACATCACTACCCATTGGTGATCAACTCAACTTTCAGCCCCTCTTCTCTCCCTAGAGGCTGGAGGGTGGGGCTGGAAGTTGGAGCCCTCTAATCATGCCTTGGCCTTTCCAGTGACCAGCCCTCATCCTGAAGATCTCTAGGGGCTCCCAGCCACCAGTCACCTCATTGGCATATAAAAGATATTCTTACTACTCCAGAGATGCCAAGGGAGCTTTTTGCTAGTATCACAATAAGTAATCTCAAGAGAACAGGGACTTAACCTGTTTTGTTCCCTGCTATATTCCCTGCCCCTAGAACAGTAACAGACATTCTTAGTAGGTGCTCAATAAACATTTGCTGAATGCATGTGCAAGTGAAATTAGTCTATGATACCCTTTTCTTTGCATCCTCTGTACCTGATTGAACTATGAAAGCTGTGCTGGCTTTATTAAAGGAGCTTTCCATGCTGTTTTATGGGTTGTTGTTGTTGTTGTTGTTGTTGTTTTGTTTGTTTGTTTGTTTTTTCAGATGGAGTCTCGCTCTGTCGCCCAGGCTGGAGTGCAATGGTGTGATCTTGGCTCACTGAAACCTCCGCCTCCCAGGTTCAAGGGATTCTCTTGCCTTAGCCTCCCAAGGAGCTGGGATTACAGGTGCACAGCCACCATGCCCTGCTAATTTTTGTATTTTTAGTAGAGACAGGGTTTCACCATGTTGGCCAGGCTGGTTAGGAAGTCCTGACCTCAAGTGATCCACCCACCTCAGCCTCCCAAAGTGCTGGGATTACAGGTGTGAACCACCGCCCGGCCTGTTTTATGGTCTTGAGTCATTTAAATCCTTGCAGTGCAAAGAGCATGGACCAGTAACATCAGCATCACCGTCTGACAGCTTTTAAGAAATACAGAATTTCAGGTTCCACCTCAGACCTATTGAATCACAGTGTGCAGTTTAACAAGATTTCCAGGTGATTCCTATTGATGTTTGATATGTACTGGTTTAAATAACACTGTATTACCTGCTTTTTAAAAAATAGTCAGGTCACATTGAGCTGGGAAATCACCTGGCACCAGCTCTTTTTTAAGGATAGAGCTATAATCATTTCTCCAACCTCTTATGGTAATGAGTCTGTTCAAGTTTTCAGCTTCTCTTTATGTCACTTTTATTCATTTATATTTTGCTAGGAAATCCTCAATATTTCCAAATAGTTAGAGTTCAAGTTAACACTCTCTCTCTCTCTTTTTTTTTTTTTTTTTTTGAGACAGTTTTGTTGCCCAGGCTGGAGTGCAGTGGTGTGATCACAGCTCACTGCAGCCTTGACCTGCTGGGCTCAAGCAATCCTCCCACCTCAGCCTCCCAAGTAGCTGGGACTACAGGTGTATGCCATCTAAACCCAGCTAATTTTTAAATTTTTTATAGAGATGGGGGTTCTCCCTATGTTGCCCAGGATGGTCTCAAACTCCTGGGCTGAAGCAATCTGCCCACCTCAGCCTCACCAAGTGTTGGGATTACAGATGTGAGCCACTATGCCCAACCAACATTCTCTTTAAATCATTTTTAACCTTTTCTATTTCTGTGGTTATGCGTGGGGAAAAGAAAGAGAGATCAGATTGTTACTGTGTCTATGTAGAAAAGGAAGACATAAGAAACTCCATTTTGATCTGTACGAAGAAAAATTGTTTTGCTTTGAGATGCCGTTAACCTGTAACTTTAGCCCCAACCCTGTGCTCACAGAAACATGTGCTGTATTGAATCAAACTTTAACGGATTTAGGGCTGTGCGGGATGTTTCTTGTTAACAATATGTTTGCAGGCAGTATGCTTGGTAAAATTCATCACCATTCTCCATTCTCGATTAACCAGGGACACAATGCACTGCGGAAAGCCGCAGGGACCTCTGCCCAAGAAAGCCTGGGTATTGTCCAAGGTTTCCCCCAACCGAGACAGCCTGAGATATGGCCTTGTGGGAAAGACCTTACCATCCCCCAGCCCGACATCCCTGAAGGGTCTGTGCTGAGGAGGAGTAGTGAAAGAGGGAGGCCTCTTTGCAGTTGGGATAAGAGGAAGGCTTCTGTCTCCTGCGCATACCTGGGAATGGAATGTCTCGGTTTAAAGCCGACCATTCCCATTCGTTCTATTCTGAGATAGGAGAAAACCACCCTGTGGCTGGAGGCGAGATATGCTGGCAGCAATACTGCTCTGTTACTCTTTGCTACACTGAGATGTTTGTGTAAAGTGAAACATAAATGTGGCCTATGTGCACATCCAGGCACAGTACCTTTCCATGAAATTATTCATGATACAGATTCCTTTGCTTACATGTTTCCCTGCTGACCTTCACCTGTTGCCCTGCTACACTTGCCTTGCTAAGACAGTAAAAATAATGATCAATAAATACTGAGGGAACTCAGAGACCAGTGCCGGTGCAGGTCCTCGCATGCTGAGCGTGCCGGTCCCCTGGGCCCACTGTTCTTTCTCTATGCTTTGTCTCTGTGTCCTATTTCTTTTCACAGTCTCTCGTCCCACCTGACGAGAAATACCCACACGTGTGGAGGGGCAGGCCCCCTTCAGTTATGTCTCTTTCTTACTCAAAATATCATATAATTGTGCTTTCTTTTTTCTTTAACCTGGTTAGTGATGAGTTTATTTACTTTATTGCTCTTTTCAAAAAAACCAACTTCTGAATTTAAATAACTTTTTTTTTTTTTTTTATGAGACAGAGTCTTGCTCTGCCCAAGCTGGAGTGCAGTGGCGCAATCTCAGCTCACTGCAACCTCCGCCTCCTGGGTTCAAGCGATTCTCCTGCCTCGGCCTCTCGAGTAGCTGGGATTACAGGCGCGTGCCACCACGCCCAGCTAATTTTTGTATTTTTAGTACAGACGAGGTTTCACCATGTTGGTCAGGCTAGTCTGGAATTCCTGACCTCGTGATCCGCCCGCGTTGGCCTCCCAAAGTGCTAGAATTACCAGCATGAGCCACTGCGCCCGGCCTATATGACCTTTTGGTACATAGTTTTTGCTTTCTATTTTGTTAATTTTGGCCTTAATTTTGTAACTTCCCTTTTCCTAATTTCTCTTGGTTAAATTTCTCTTTATTTTTTACATATTTTTTCTAAGTTCTTAAGATGAGTTTATCTTCAGTCTCTTGTCTGTACAATGAAAGCTATTTAAATCAATCTACTTTATTCTGAAAATAGCTTTTGCTATATCCTACAGATTCTTGTATAAAATGTTAGACTTTACATTACTAAGCGTGCAAGTTCAGCATTGATTTCTGTAATAATCCAAAAGTTATCTGGCAGTATAATTCTTCACATCCAAATGGTCAAGATTTTTAGATACTTTTTAAATTATTAATTTATAATTTTAATTATGTTCAAATACTGTGGCCTGTATTAGTCCATTCTCACACTGCTAATAAAGAACTACCTGATGGTCGGGAGCAGTGGTTCATGCCTGTAATCCCAGCACTTTGGGAGGCCGAGGTGGGCAGATCACCTGAGGTCAGGAGTTCGAGACCAGCCTGGTCAACATGGGTGAAACCCTGTCTCTACTAAAAATACAAAAAATAAATAAATAAATAAAATTAGCCAGCCTGGTGGCATGCCCCTGTAATCCCAGCTACTCGGGAGGCTGAGGCAGGAGAATCGCTTGAATCTGGGAGGCAGAGGTTGCAGTGAGCTGAGATTGTGCCATTGCACTACAGCCTGGGCAACAAGAACGAAAACTCCATCTCCAAAAAAAAAAAAAAAAAAGAACTACATGAGACCGGGTAATTTATAAAGAGAAGAGGCTTCACTTGCTCCCAGTTCTGCAGGCTGTAAAGGAAACATGATGCTGGCACCTGTTCAGCTTCTTGGGAGGCCTCAGGAAACTTTCAATCATGTCAGAAGGTAAAGGGGACACAGGCACGCCTTACACAGCTGGAGCAGGAGCAGGGTGGGAGGTGTTACACACTTTTAAACAACCAGATCTCATGGTAACTCTATCAGCAGAACAGCACTAGAGGAATGGTGCTAAACCATTCGTGAGAAACTGCCCCCATGTCCAACCACCTCCCACCAGGCCCTACTGCCAACACTGGGGATTACAATTCAACATGAGATTTGGGTGGGGACACAGATCCAAGCCATATCATGGCCTGTGGTATACCTCTTCTATTTTTTAATGTATCAAGAATTGCTTAGGCCAGGTGTGGTGGCTCAAACCTGTAATCCCAACACTTTGGGAGGCTGGTGGGGTGGGGAAGGATCAGAATCACTTTAGGGTAGGAGTTTGAGACCAGCTTGGGTAACATAGTGAGACCTCATCTCGACAAAAAATTTAAAAATTGAAATTAGCTGGACATGGTGCCATGCACCTATAGTCCTAGCTACTCAGGAGGCTGAGGCGGGAGAATTGCTTGGGTCCAGGAGTTTGAAGTTACAGTGAGCTATGATCGTGACACTGCACTCCAGCTTGGGTGACAGAGGGAGACCCTATCTCCAGGGGAAGAAAAGAAAAAGAATTTCTTTGTGGCCAAATATGGGATCAACTATTTTAAAGGTACTATGATCATATGGGAAATGTGTATCTTCTCTATTCAAAGAATATAAAGATCTTTCTAGATCCTCTACACGTAAGTGTATGTATGCACGTGGGTGCACACACACACACAAATGTTTACTGAATTGCTCGATTCCTAAATGTCCTTATTTTTTCGCCTCCTGGATTCATTACCGGAAAAGGAGTCTTGATCCAGACCCCAAGAGAGGGTTCTTGGGTCTCACGCAGGAAGGAATTCAAGGTGAGTCACAGAGTGCAGTGAAAGAAGCAAGTTATTTAGAAGCTACTCCCTTCCAGAGTACAGCACCCTCAGAAGGCAAGCAGAGGAACGCACCATCTTTGCTTTAAGTTTTTCTTATGTAGGGGGTCTTATGTATATAAAGACTAAGCTAAGCTGAGTCTACATGAGGGTGAGCAGACAGCATGACAAAATGTGTAATACTGATTTAAATAAAACTATCCTCGACATTCTAGTGTGTGAGTACCTCAAACCATAACTACAATTATATTCAAAGCACATACTGTTATGGATATCAGGACATCTGGACTTTCTGTTATTGTAGGAGTGTGTCCTTGCAGGCGTTAACAAGCTGCTACTTTAGCTGTAAACATCTAAGGACCATGGGTCATGACTGGCAAGGAATGTGCCTTGCTAGTTTCAAGATGGAGGTGATTTTAAAATGGTATCATCCTGGCTCCTCTAGGCTCCTGCTTCCCTAACAGAGATGTCCAAGTTTGATATACACATATTAAAATCTCTCACTATAATTATTTTGTTTATTTCACTAGTCAATAAAAGATTAAAGAATCATACAATAGTCAATCAAGACACAAGAGCTAAAGTAATCCCTTTGTTAAGCACCAAATGAATCAGAAAAACATTAAAGGAATTCTGTCAATAAAACTCTCTATAGCTAAACACATTGTGGATTAAATTATATATTTTTTCAGAAAAAAAATTCTTTTTCTGTTGATGTCTAATTAAATCCCTCACGCACAAGAACTACACATCAGATTATTTACCTCTTCCCAGCCTGCAAGTCGTAATTATTTCCCTTTGCTCATTTTTAATGTTGGCTTTTGTATGACTGAAAATGACTGTGCAATTAGATAATGCCATTTAAAAATATATATATATATTAGGTTTTTCTCCAGAAACAGAGCTATATATAATGAATACAGTGATGATGAACTAAAAAGCAATTCAGAAACACTTTTTATTATAATACAAAGTCCTCTTAAGCTAGCCTACAAATATGATTGTGAGCAAGTAACTTGACTGCATTGTTCACCTTTAAAGAGATTTCTTCTCTTTTTGTAAGTCCTCTTTGGGTTTTAAATAAAGGGGTAGATAACATGCAAGACTCAATTGTGTTGTGTCTACGGAGTCGTCTCACACAGAAAGAAATGAGTCACAGAAGGAGGAAAAATGCCCTCATGACCACCTTTGCTATTAGTGATATTGGCTTACAGCCTTTTAGATTTGGGGGATAGAGCACGTGGAAAACAGCAGGAAAGGACGCAGAGGGTGACTATTACAGTAACAACAGCTGTTTTCAATTATTCAGCATGTTTACATTCCACACTGGCACAGCAAATGATTGGGAAATGATTCTTTACCTGGCCAAATGTCTGGACGTTGACCTTGAAGTTAACTGTTGCTCCAGACACTTGTGAAATGAACTCCCCTAAACCTGTCACCGGTCAGAGCATTTTTTCCATTTTAAAAACATAAGTTTTTTAATGAATATAGAAACTACCACTGTAATCTCTTATCTTTGGAAGGGGGGCTAAATTATTTTTTCTCAAAATTCTTTTGAATTAAAAGCGACTTGCCTTGTCAAAGATGTCTTACTTCGTCCTAAGCAGTATTTAGCATCTACCAAAGTTGATATTTTCTTAAGCCTGCTCATTGTTGTGTAGTTACTTAGGACAGAAAAGAAACAAAGAATGCAGATGAATAAATGTATTAAACCAATTTCACAGGCAAGTTTCCCTTGAAAAACAACTCCTTGCCATAATCATCACATTCATTGAGTGACCATCTACCAAATGCTTTACTCCCATGATTTCATGTAATATTGACATTCACCCTACAAAGTAGATGGTATTACAGTGTCTGTTTTACAAGTGAGAAATCCGAGGAACAGGAAGTCAATTTGCCAAGTGTTGCACAGCTAAATCGATATTCCAGAGAATGTCACCTCAAAGCTTCTAGTGGGGCTGTCATGTAGGTTGTGGTCGCTTTGGATAACAGGAGACGCTAAGGAAAATCAGTACTGGTTACTGAGGATGGAAGAGGCGCAGATATTTCACCACAGGCGACGAAAACCCCACTTTTAGGCTGGCCACACAGGAGCCCCGAGGAAACTATGCGTCCCCTTCCTCCCCGCCCCCACACTGCCCTGGCCTGGGCGGAGCAGCGGCCGCAGTGTAACTGCTGTTGCCCAGATCGAACCAAGCCCGGTCCCAGTGACGAGCAGCGCCTGCGGGGCCAGAGCGTCTGGGAGCCTTTCATGACCCCAAAGCCCAGGGAGGTCCCCGCACCATCGGCCCCGCGCCCTAGCTCGGTCCGCCGTCGAGGGTGCCTGGAAGTCCCCTGCGGGCGCCGGGGAGAAAGCCCGGGGCTTAGCCTCCTCCATCCCCAGCCATCTGTCACCGCCTCCTAGGCCCCGGCTGGAGCCCCATGGGCGCCTCCCGCGCCTACCAAGGAGCCAGGGAGACAAGGATCCCGGAGACCTCTGGGGCGCCCTCCAGCTGAGGATTCCGCCGCGGCTCCCGCAGCCGCTTCTCCCCATTCGGTGCAGCCCACCTGGCCCAGCTCTCGGCCGGTCTCCCTCGGAGGTCCGAAAAGGGAGAGGGCGGGCCAGGGCTCCCCGCTGGCCGGAGCCGCAGCCCCTTTCCCCCTCCCCCACCCAGGGACCCTTCCCGGACCCTCCCGGGCGCAGCCCTCACCTGCTGCCCGCACCGCCTCCGAGGAAGGCCCTCGGGCTCCACCTGGCCTCATCACCGCTTCCCTTATCCGGGAGGAGGAGGAAACTCAACCCTCTAGGCCAGGCCCTGTGCTCACTTTAGATACTTTATTTCGTTTAATTCTTAGGGTTTTAACCCCTGAGTTTAAGGCGAAGGATCCGAGGTTCCGAAAAGCCATGCAGAGCAGGGAGGATTCAAACAGCCAAACCTGCTGGTCTCCGTGCTCTTGGTAGCGGAAGAGATTTTGATGGAGTAAGTCGTTTTTTAGCTATACTCCCTCTGTTAACATAATTAAAACTGGACCACCACCTTCTGGAAAGAAAGGCAGCTGGACAGCACAAGGGCTTTTATGAAAGGGACTAAAGGAAGATAGCATACCCCCAGCCCTCGTCTCAGCTTGGTAATTCTCATTTGCCTTTGAACGTTAACAGAAATTCCAGGCTCAGTAACCAGTTTCAGGAAAATGCTGTGCGTGAATACAAGAGGAGGCGCCTTGGCATAGGGGAAGCATTCTGTCCTCTGATGGACAGATCCTCCACTCCCGTCTTGGCCTGTGACACAAACACCTTGAGTTGTAAATTCCTCGAGCAAAGTGAGGCATTTTGGCATTTGCCAGGGGTGGTGACTGACACACAGGGAGCCTCAGTACTGTTTATTTGGTGTCTCCATACCTAGCAGACCACATTTTCCAGGCCCCATGTAGGGGGTGGGAGGGATCTCATTTTAAAGAGATCAGTTGATATTTCTCTTGGCAAATCTAGCACAGGACTTTTGTCCCCAAAGACTTCTGTTCTCACTGCTTGCCCACATGCCTGGGCAGCCTAATGCTCTCTACGCCCATCTTTCCTTCAGGAATGAGTTCCCATCTCTTTCTCAACAGTGGACACCACTCCAGTGTTCCTCCCACCACCTTTAACTGAAAAAACAAACTGCCTTTACAGAACACTGTGCACACAGGTCAGCCTGGCTCCTGGAAATGCAAACTGGAGTTTCAAAAAGATGAAAACATTCCTGGAGAATTTTTGGTGTTTTGGAGAGTGCCTCTGGGCAGATCACACACTGTGACAAGTTCCTCAATTGTGAAAATTCAATCATGCTTTCCACAAAGAACTGACTTTTCACACTTAACACTGGAGGTTGCTCATTTTCCCCCAAATCTTGAAGTGGATTTGGGATTAAGATACCAAAGCAAATGCATAGTTCTTTGAGCACTGCTCCTATCTCATGGTGTCTGCATACTGGCAGACAGACACAGGCAGGAAGTAGGGGGCCTCTGCTGATGGTTTCCTTGGAGTTAGAAAGGTTTGACACATCCAGCCCAGAGAAGGCAGAGGCTCCTGTAACCCCACCCTGCTGCCAGCTGTCAGTAGAAGAAAAACAGCTGGAGGAGGGGGGAGATCTCACACTCCAGTCTCCCTAATTTGCATGGCTTTCTGCTAGCAACTGTATTCTTTCCTCTTAAAATTATTGTAATCACAAATTCTCATTATTAGGGACATGGGACATTGGGAGAGGAGGAAACACTTTATATTAAAAAATTTCCGCTTGGTTCCAAGATGGCCGAATAGGAACAGCTCCAGTCTGCAGCTCCCAGCGTGATCGACACAGAAGACGGGTGATTTCCGCATTTCCAACTGAGGTACCTGGTTCATCTCATTGGGACTGGTTGGACAGTGGGTGCAGCCCACAGAGGGTGAGCCAAAGCAGGGCAGGGCATCACCTCACCCAGGAAGCCCAAGGGGTCAGGGGATTTCCCTTTCCTAGCCAAGGGCAGCCATGACAGACTGTGCCTGGAAAAATGGGACACTCCCGCCTAAATACTACACTTTTCCAATGGTCTTAGCAAATGGCACACCAGGAGATTATATCCCGCGCCTGGCTTGGCGGGTCCCACGCCCACGGAGCCTTGCTCACTGCTAGCGCAGCAGTCTGAGATCGACCTGTGAGGCAGCAGCCTGGCAGCGGCAGGGGCGTCCGCCATTGCTAAGGCTTGAGTAGGTAAACAAAGCAGCTGGGGAAGCTTGAACTGGGTGGAGCCCACCACAGCTCAGCAAGGCCTGCTGCCTCTGTTGACTCCACCTCTGGGGGCAGGGCATAGCTGAACAAAAGGCAGCAGAAACTTCTGCAGACTTAAACGTCCCTGTCTGACAGCTCTGGAGACCTGTGTTCTCCCAACATGGCGTTTGAGCTCTGAGGACAGACTGCCTCCTCAAGTGGGTCCCTGACCCCCGTGTAGCCTAACTAGGAGACATCTCCCAGTAGGGGCTGACTGACACTTCATACAGGCAGGTGCCCCTCTGGGACGAAGCTTCCAGAGGAAGGATAAGGCATCAATATTTGCTGTTCTGTAATATTTGCTGTTCTGCAGCCTCCGCTGGTGATACCCAGGCAAACAGGGTCTGGAGTGGACCTCCAGCAAATTCCAACAGACCTGCAGCTGAGGGACCTGACTGTTAGAAGGAAAACTAACAAACAGAAAGGAATAGCATCAACATCAACAAAATGGACATCCACACCAAAACCCCATCTGTAGGTCACCGACATCAAAGACCAAAGGTAGATAAAACCACAAAGATGGGGAGAAACCAGAGAAGAAAAGCTGAAAATTCTAAAAACCAAAGCGCCTATACTCCCCAAAGCATCACAGCTCCTCGCCAGCAACAGAACAAAGCTGGACGGAGAATGACTTTCACGAGTTGACAAAAGTAGGCTTCAGAAGGTCGGTAATAACAAACTTCTCCAAGCTAAAAGAGGATGTTCGAACCCATAGCAAGGAAGCTAAAAACCTTGAAAAAAGGTTAGATGAATGGCTAACTAGAATAAACAGCATAGAGAAGACCTTAAATGACCTGATGGAGCTGAAAACCATGGCACGAGAACTACGTGACGCATGCACAAGCTTCAGTAGCCAATTCGATCAAGTGGAAGAAAGGGTATCAGTGATTGAAGATCAAATGAATGAAATGAAGCGAGAAGAGAAGTTTAGAGAAAAAAGAGTAAAAAGAAACAAACAAAGCCTCCAAGAAATATGGGACTATGTGAAAAGACCAAATCGACATCTGATTGGTGTACCTGAAAGTGACAGGGAGAGTGGAACCAAGTTGGAAAACACTCTTCAGGATATTATCCAGGAGAAATTCCCCAACCTAGCAAGGTAGGCTGACATTCAAATTCAGGAAATACAGAGAACACCACAAAGATACTCCTTGAGAAGAGCAACTCCAAGACATAATTGTCAGATTCACCAAGGTTGAAATGAAGGAAAAAATGCTAAGGGCAGCCAGAAAGGTCAGGTTACCCACAAAGGGAAGCCCATCAGACTAATAGCAGATCTCTCGGCAGAAACTCTACAAGGCTGAAGAGAGTGGGGGCCAATATTCGACATTCTTAAAGAGAAGAATTTTCAGCCCAGAATGTCATATCCAGCCAAACTAAGCTTCATAAGTGAAGGAGAAATAATATCCTTTACAAACAAGCAAATGCTGAGAGATTTTGTCACCACCAGGCCTGCCTTGCAAGAGCCCCTGAAGGAAGCACTAAACATGGAAAGGAACGACTGGTACCAGCCACTGCAAAAACATGCCATATTGTAAAGACCATCAATGCTAGGAAGAAACTGCATCAACTAACAAGCAAAATAACCAGCTAACATCATAATGACAGGATCAAATAAACACATAACAACATTAACCTTAAATGTAAATGGGCTAAATGCCCCAATTAAAAGATACAGACTGGCAAATTGGATGAAGAGTCAAGATCCATCAGTGTGCTGTATTCAGGAGACCCATCTCACATGCAGAGACAAACATAGCCTCAAAATAAAGGCATGGAGGAAGATCTACCAAGCAAATGGAAAGCAAAAAAAAAAAAAAAAAAAAAGCAGGGGTTGCAATCCTAGTCTCTGATAAAACAGACTTTAAACCAACAAAGATCAAGAGACAAAGAAGGCCATTACATAATGGTAAAGGGATCAATTCAACAAGAAGAGCTAACTATCCTAAATATATATGCACCCAATACAGGAGCACCCAGATTCATAAAGCAAATCCTTAGAGACCTACAAAGAGACTAAGACTCCCACACAATAATAATGGGAGACTTTAACACCCCACTGTCAATATTAGACAGATCAACGAGACAGAAAGTTAAGAAGGATATCCAGGAATTGAACTCAGCTCTGCACCAAGCAGACGTAATAGACATCTACAGAACTCTCCACCCCAAATCAACAGAATATACATTTTTCTCAGCACCACATCACACTTATTCCAAAATTGACCACATAGTTGGAAGTAAAGCACCCCTCAGCAAAGGTAAAAGAACAGAAATCACAACAAACTGTCTCTCAGACCACAGTGCAATCAAATTAAAACTCAGGATTAAGAAACTCACTCAAAACTGCACAACTACATGGAAACTGAACAACCTGCTCCTGAATGACTACTGGGAAAATAATGAAATGAAGGCAGAAACAAAGATGTTCTTTGAAACCAATGAGGACAAAGACACAACATACCAGAATCTCTGGGACACATTTAAAGCAGTGTGTAGAGGGAAATTTATAGCACTAAATGCCCACAAGGGAAAGCAGGAAAGATCTAAAATCAACACCCTAACATCACAATTCAAAGAACTAGAGAAGCAAGAGCAAACAAATTCAAAAGCTAGCAGAAGGCAAGAAATAACTAAGATCAATGCAGAATTGAAGGAGATAGAGACACAAAAAACCCTTCAAAAAAATCAATGAATCCAGGAGCTGGTTTTTTGAAAAGATCAACAAAACTGATAGACCACTAGCAAGACTAATAAAGAAGAAAAGAGAGAAGAATCAAACAGACACAATAGAAAATGATAAAGGGGATATCACCACTGATCCCACAGAAATACAAACTACCATCAGAGAATACTATAAACACCTCTATGCAAATAAACTAGAAAATCTAGAAGAAATGGATAAATTCCTGGACACGTACACCCTCCCAAGACTAAACCAGGAAGAAGTGGAATCTCTGAATAGACCAATAACAGGGTATGAAATTGAGGCAATAATCAATAGCCTACCAACCAAAAAAGTCCAGGATCAGACGGATTCATAACCAAATTCTACCAGAAGTACAAAGAGGAGCTGATACCATTCCTTCTGAAACTATTCCAATCAGCAGAAAAAGAGGGAATCCTCCCTAACTCATTTTATGAGGCCAGCATCATCCTGATACCAAAGCCTGGCAGAGACACAACAAAAAAAGAGAATTTTAGACCAATATCCCTGATGAACATCGATGCAAAAATCCTCAATACTGGCAAACTGAATCCAGCAGCACATCAAAAACCTTATCCACCATGATCAAGTTGGCTTCATCCCTGGGATGCAAGGCTGGTTCAACATACGAAAATCAATAAACATAATCCATCACATAAACAGAACCAACAACAAAAACCACATGATTATCTCAATAGATGCAGAAAAGTCCTTTGACAAAATTCAACAGCCCTTCATGCTAAAAACTCTCAATAAACTAGGTATTGATGGAATGTATCTCAAAATAATAAGAGCTATTTATGACAAACCCACAGCCAATATCATACTGAATGGGCAAAAACTGGAAGCATTCCCTTTGAAAACTGGCACTAGACAGGGATGCCCTCTCTCACCACTCCTATTCAACATAGTGTTGGAAGTTCTGGCCAGGGCAATCAGGCAAGGGAAAGAAATAAAGGGTATTCAATTAGGAAAAGAAGAAGTCAAATTGTCCCTGTTTGCATATGACATGATTGTATATTTAGAAAACCCCATCATCTCAGCCCAAAATCTCCTTAAGCTGATAAGCAACTTCAGCAAAGTCTCAGGATACAAAATCAATGTGCAAAAATCACAAGCATTCCTACACACCAATAACAGACAAACAGAGAACCAAATCATGAGTGAACTCCCATTCACAATTGCCACAAAGAGAATAAAATACCTAGGAATCCAACTTACAAGGGATGTGAAGGACCTCTTCAAGGAGAACTACAAACCACTGCTCAATGAAATAAAGGAGGACACAAACAAATGGAAGAACATTCCATGCTCATGGTTAGGAAGAATCAATATCATGAAAATGGCCATACTGCCCAATGAAATTTATAGATTCAATGCCATCCCCATCAAGCTACCAATGACTTTCTTCACGGAATTGGGAAAAACTTCTTTAAAGTTCATATGGAACCAAAAAAGAGCCTGCATTGCCAAGACAATCCTAAGCAAAGAGAACAAAGCTGGAGGCATCATGCTACCTGACTTCAAACTATACTACAAGGCTACAGTAACCAAAACAGCATGGTACTGGTACCAAAACAGAGATATAGACCAATGGAACAGAACAGAGGCTTCAGAAATAACACCACACATCTACAACCATCTGATCTTTGACAAACCTGACAAAAACAAGAAATGGGGAAAGGATTCCCTATTTAATAAGTGGTGCTGGGAAAACTGGCTAGCCGTATGTAGAAAGCTGAAACTGGATCCCTTCCTTACACCTTATACAAAAATTAATTCAAGATGGATTAAAGACTTAAATGTAAGACCTAAAAACCATAAAAACCCTAGAAGAAAACCTAGGCAATATCATTCAGGACATAGGCATGGGCAAGGACTTCATGACTAAAACACCAAAAGCAATGGCAACAAAAGTCAAAATAGACAAATGCGATCTAATTAAACTAAACAGCTTCTGCACAGCAAAAGAAACTACCATCAGAATGAACAGGCAACCTACAGAATGGGAGAAAAATTTTGCCATCTACTCATCTGACAAAGGGCTAATATCCAGAATCTACAAAGAACTTAAACAAATTTTGAAGAAAAAAACAACCCCATCAAAAAGTGGGCAAAGGATATGAATAGACACTTCTCAAAAGAAAACATTTATGCAGCCAATAGACACATGAAAAAATGCTCATCATCACTGGTCATCAGAGAAATGCAAATCAAAACCACAATGAGATACCATCTCACACCAGTTAGAATGGCGATCATTAAAAAGTCAGGAAACAACAGATGCTGGAGAGGATATGGAGAAATAGGAATGCTTTTACACTGTTGGTGGGAGTGTAAACTAGTTCAACCATTGTGGAAGACAGTGTGGTGATTCCTCAAGGATCTAGAACTAGAAATACCATTTGACCCAGTGATCCTATTACTGGGTATATACCCAAAGGATTATAAATCATGCTACTATAAAGACACATGCACACATATGTTTATTGCAGGACTATTCACAATAGCAAAGACTTGGAACCAACCCAAATGTCCATCAATGATAGACTGGATTAAGAAAATGTGGCACAGATACACCATGGAGTACTATGCAGCCATAAAAAACGATGAGTTCATGTCCTTTGCACGGACATGGATGAAGCTGGCAACCATCATTCTCAGCAAACTATCACAAGGACAGAAAACCAAACACCACATGTTCTCACTCATGGGTGGGAATTGAACAATAAGAACACTTGGACACAGGGTGGGGAACATCACACACCAGGGCCTGTCGTGGGGTAGGGGGCTGGGGGAGGGATAGCATTAGGAGAAATACCTAATGTAAATGACATTAATGGGTGCAGCAAACCAACTTGGCACATGTATACCTATGGAACAAACCTGCACGTTGTGCATATGTACCCTAGAACTTAAAGTGTAATAAATGTATATATATATATATGTGTATGTATGTGTAGATACATGTGTGTGTATATATATGTGTATATATATATGCATGTGTGTGTGTATATACATATATGTGTGTGTGTGTATATATATATATATACACACACACGAAAATTAGCCAGGCATGGTGGCAGATGCCTGTAATCCCAGCTACTCGCGGGGCTGAGGCAGGAGAATTGCTTGAACCTGGGAAGTGGAGGTTGCAGTTAGCCAAGATTGTGCCATCACACTCCAGCCAGGGGGACAAGAGTGAGACTTCGTCTCAAAAAAAAAAAAAAAAGTTTTCAATTTTTAAATTTCTACTGCTATCAGCTTTTTATTCTGAATATTGTTTATTTTTGCCTTCTTTATAAATCAACTTATGTCATTATTACTGTTATATGCAATATATGTTTTACATAAGAAAATAAATGTCTTTTCTCACTAAAAAAAAAAATATTCCCCATCTGATAATGCTTAAAAATGCTTCAACTGGACATTCACGGAAATGAATCTAAATAACAATCTTACCCCTTTCACAAAAATTAACTCATAGACATAATGGATCACAGACATAAATATAAAACATAAAAGTATAAAACTCCTAGAAGATAATATAGGAGAAAATCTAGGTATCTAGGTGACCTTGAGTTTAGCAATGACTTTACAACACCAAAATACAATTTACAAAAGATAAAATGTAAAAATTGGACTTCGTTAAAATTAAAAATCCTTCAATTGAGGACAAAGCTTTTTGTTGTACAAAAAGAATTGAAATGCAAATTCCTGTCTGGAAAAGATAATAGTGATCTGTAAAATCATGCTGAAGTATAAAAGACTAATAGCAGATCCTGTGTTTCTGTGCTCGGGGGTAGAAGGCTACTCATGTATAAGAAAATAGGAAGAAACAATATTTGTGGGCTAAGGTGGAAGGATCACTTGAACCCAGGAGTTCAAGGCTGCAGTGAGTTATAATCATGCCATTGCACTCCAACCTAGGTGACAGAGTTAGAACCCATCTCAAAAAAAGAAAAAAGAAAAAAAAATTTGTGAAATATACAAGGAGCAAAGCCTTATCCTACACTTAAGCATCCTGACATGTGACTTCTCTGATGGAAACAAGAAAACCTGATGGTTCAGGTCTTGAAACTAGAGTAAGTATTTTCTTCTTATCAACAGCCAAGGCAGTCTCTGTAAATCTCAGGTCCAACCCAACATTCAATTTATAGCCATAAATATTTTCATTATTTTTAAAAATTTATTTCATCATAAAAATAAAATTCTTTTTTTTTCTTTTTGAGACCCAAAAGAGACTCCAGCTTGTCACCCAAGCTGGAGTGCAGTGGCATGACCACGGCTCACTGCAGACTTGACCTCCCAGACTCAAGCAATCCTCACCTCAGCCTCCTGAGCAGCTGGGACTACAAGTGTTTGCCACCACACCCAGCTAATTTTTTAACTTTTTTTTTTAGAGATGGAGTCTCACCATGTTGCCCAGGCTGATCTCGAACTCCTGGGCTCAAGCAATCTGCCTGCTTCAGCCTCCCAAAGTGCTGGGATTACAGGTGTAAGTCACCATACCCAGCCAAAAGAAAATTCTTAATATTAAAGTATATGAACTTTGACTCAAAAGTTTTTTTTTAAAGCAAAAGAAAAGGCAAAAATAAGAGTTATAAAGAAAACCTACTTTTCTAAAAAACAGCGTTTTATAAGCAGACATCTAGCAAATATTATCAAGAAAAAAAGAAGAAATACAAAATGCAAGAAATGAGAAATTGGAATAGGAACAACAGAAGTCAAAATGTGGCCAAAAAGGCCAGGTGCAGTGGCTTATGCCTATAATCCCAACACTTTGGAAGGCTGATGGGAGGATCCCTTGAGGCCAGGAGTTCAAGATCAGCCTGGGCAACATGGTGAGACCCTGTCTCTACCAAAAAAAGAAAAAAAAATTAATCAAGTATATAATCTTTGTTTGTCTCTCAAAAATATATTAAAAGGGACTCATTTATACCCAGAGAGACCAACCCTTCTTCAAATCCCCTTCTTTTCCCCAAATCTCCCAGAGCCCTCCAAAGCTCCCACTTCCCAGATGCCTCAAAGTCTGCCCCAAATATTCACCTATCTTTTTCAGTCCTTCACCCCCTTCTGTCTTCACTATGTAGATTGGTTTAGCTTCACTAACTTTTTTGTTTTCTTTCCACTTCTCCCATTACTTGATTTCTCTAACACAAAGGATGTTCTGGGAACTGATCCAACAAGCCAAAATTCTAACCATTCTTCTCATTTTCCATCTTTTCTTCCCCTTTTCCTGATACTTTTGTTAAAATCTGGGGACCAGGCCAAATACATAAATCAATCTATAAATCTTATTCCCCAAACCCATCCCATCACGAATGTTTCAGAGTCAAAGTCAATACTGAAAGAGAAGCCCTAGGGAACCAAGAGGATTCACCCCCAGAATTCAAGGTGGTTCAGTATTTGGAAACCAAATGTAACATTTCATATCAACATAATTTACAAGGGAAATCATGGGATCTCAATGGGTGGTGAAAGGCATTTGTAAGTACAAACAGAAAGTTGCTATGGACAGCAATTTTGAATAACTAAAATGTAGTTGGTGTCTCGCAGACATTGAGGTTAGGGGCAAACAGAGAAAAAGCCACTATTTTTCTAGATCTAGTGTTAGGAATATCAGATCCATCAGATCAAATGAATTACCTTCACGTGTGTCATTCTCAGACTCAAGCAAATTTGGTCTTGAAATCTGGCCTTGCAGGATGCCTGTCTCTGGAGGGCCACAGAACACTCGAATGGAACTGGCATTATTTGTAAAAAAAAAAAAAAAATTAGCCACTTTTTGTTGTATCAGCTATTAATATAAATAATTGAATGTTGATTACATTCCTTTGTGACCTATCACTTTTTAAAAATAAAATTTGAGGCTTTTTTCACACTCCCAAATATGTATTCACTGTAGCTAATTTAGAAGCGTGCACAACAATATAACACAATTTAAATTATCCACATTCTTACCACCAAGAGAGGACCGCTAATTAACGTTTTAGTATATTCTCTCCCAGCATGAATTTGGGAATGCAAGCACTCTTGATGTTTAATTAGGACATAAGTTGGTTGCTGATATTATAAGTCACTTCTATGTTTCAAATCCCTCAATGGAACATCAGAGGCTACTAGAATAAAGAGTTCTGATAGATTCTCCAGGCAAGAGATTAAACTTTGCCCCAAAGCACCAGAGAGATTAGATGCCCAGTGGTAGCAGAGTGACTTTCTGTGTGTAGTTTGGAAAAAAGGACTGCCAGTTGGTTCAAAATAATTAGAATCTAGGGGATACACACACACACACACACACACACACACACACACACACACACACACACACGCACACCAGCTGAGAAGACCTGCCCTAGAAAATCCATGGATTATTGATTTTTGGGGTGCTTCCCTTGAAATTACATGCAAAACATATGGGAAAGGGGCTATCATCTTCACCAAATTTTGGATCTATGACTCCCTCAAAATGTCAGGACCCCTGGTACATAAAGTCCTTTTCAATTTTAATATTCTTGTACTCTTTGGCATTGGAGCTTTTATTCTGCCTGCTTAAAAGACAGAAGGCTTGGAAGAGATGGAAGACAGATGAAGCTAGGTTCTTCTATCAAAAGGAGGTTTGCGGGGAAGCTGGCCCATGGAAAATGCAGACACAGCCCTTTACCTTCTCTGTATATTGACCGTCCTGCTTTGACAGTGCTTCCTCTAATATTTGACCACCAGCGACTTAGCAATTGTCGATGTAAAAATGATGCCATTTTTGAAGAATATGCCCAAAAGAAGTGTCTGCTACCAGTGCTACTCCCAGGTATTCTTGTGATGTGAACAACAGTCACTAACTTGGGGTCAAATTAAGAAAATTTGCCAGCATATTTTCAATGCCTACCATGCATTGACATGCCCCAAGACCCATTTCATGATTGCCAGAATCAGGCTTCAACCTTGGCTCTAGCCAACTTATTATTTTTTTTAATAGAAAGAATGTTTTTTGGGGTTTGTTTGTTGAGACACAGTCTTGATCTGTCACCCAGGCTGGAGTGCAATGGCACGATCTCAGCTCACAGCAATCTCTGCCTCCTGGGTTGAAGCGATTCTCGTGCCTCAGCCAGCCAAGTAGCTGGGATTACAGGCGCGTGCCACCACACCTGGCTAATTTTTGTATTTTTGGTGGAGACAGGGTTTTGCCATGTTGGCTAGGGGCTAGGCTGTTCTCGAACTCCTGACCTCAAATGATCCGCCAGCCTCAGCCTCCCAAAGTGCTGGGATTATAGGCGTGAGCCATCGCGCCCAGCTTCCAGCCAACTTTAGAGTCTATTTCACCTCTCAGCCAAACAGCCTCCCAGTCAATCGTGTATGTTTTGTATTTTGACCCACACACTGGTTTTCCCTCAAACTTCTATCTTAATTAGGAGATACGTTAAACACACATCAGTCTTATTTTAAAAGCCCCTTAAATATTTTATTTTGAAGCATTGATTCTGAAACATAAGATACTTTATAAAAGGGCTTCAAAAACAGCTTTGTCTTGTGGAAGACAATTAAAAATTTATTGTTCAAATGCTGCCATCTGGTGGCCAAACATGGCAAGCCCCGAAAATAGACCATTCACAGAAAAGATACGGAAAACCCCAGTTTCCCTAATCACTTGCTTTGTTAGCAAAGATTTGGAAAATTCTGTGGAAAAATATTAACATGCTTATGTTCCACTAATTCTAACCTGTAAGATATACTTTTTTCCCATAAACAATGGCAGTAAGATGTTTATCAGAATGTTTCCAAAGTCATATGAAGGAAAAATGAAGAAGGCAAGAAAAAATGTTTAAATAAAAAAAATTAAAGATCAACACCTGTGAAAAAAAGGGATTTAAAAAATAAAAATAACTGTTTCTAAGGGCAAAGATGCAGACTCACTGGACAACATGCTTGCCAATCAAATTCAGATGTAACAGAAAAAGTTATCTTTTCTACATCCATTCCAAGTGTATTGACACAGGTGTCATTCACTCAACGAAATTTTATTGCAAGGCTGTTTTGTTCCATATTCTTTTAATTTCGTTGGGTACATGATGGAGAACCAAAAAAACTACCTTTCCTAGAGAACCTCATGAGAAACAGGGACCCCACACCGTAAGATTGTACGTACGGTTGCACCCTATGTGGCCCTCAGTCTCAAGTGAGTGTGAGCTAAAAGCTTCTGCTTGCAGGGCATGCCTTTTCTCATTCACATAAAGGGGACATAGAGGCTTTGAGCTACTGCGGGGATGTGGGGGATTCAGATACCTATTGGGGCCTCCCTCCCACATCTTGGGTCTCTTTCCTAATGCCTGGCCAGCTGGAGGGAACACATTTTAGTATTTGACCTATTGACCCTCTTGCTTTGTCATGAACATCTTCCACTTTGTGGGTTCTCGAAAGCAGTCCTAGTCTCTGAGCAATGTATTTGTAACCTAGAGAATGCCTGTGATTCAGCTGCTCAACTGGCTCTTCAGACATCCCCAGATGCCCCCTTCTCTGCCCTGGGCCCAGCTTCCTACCTCCAGAATGCAGCTGGGGAAAGAGCCGCAAAGGCTGGTGGTCTGGTGACCCAGGACATGGAGGTGCCTCTGGACCCTGGCAACTCCAACTAGCATTCTAGGAGGACCTCCCACAGTTTCTGGAGAAGATTCTACAAAAGGTCTTTGGCCAGTAACTAATTCTTCAATGTGAATAAATGATAGTTTTTTTCCTCCAATAAATGTCAAACAGTACTAGTTGGGGGTGGGGGCAGTGGGTTGTGTCAGCTTTCAACTTGTGGCTGCCAGAACTACAATGCTTCTTCTTGGTTGGTAAAATATTTAAAAAAAAAAAAAAAAAAGCCTGGCGCAGTGGCTCACGCCTGTAATCCCAGCACTTTGAGAGGCTGAGGTGGGAAGATCACTTGAGCTCAGGAGTTTGAGACCAGCTTGGCCAACATGGTGAAACCTCATCTCTATTAAAAATATAAAAATTAGCCAGGCATGGTGGTGGGCGCCAGTCCTCCACAGTGACCTGAGACCCCTCCTGTATATCCCAGATGCATGGTAATGACCCTTTTCTCTTGAGATTCTTAAACTGGGGTCCACAGACCCTATGGAAGCACGTCAGTGGCTCCATAAATTCCCTGATAACATATACAAAATGTGTAAATATTCATTATGCTGAAGAGGTTTCACGGCTTTCATCACATTTTTAAAAATTAGTCTATGGTAGAATCTTCAGAGCCCTGCGAAAGTCTCCCTCCAAGTTGGAGTTGTTGGAAGCAGAGGGAAGCATTTAGGCCAACACTGACAGATGAGTCCTAACTCTCTGATATCCAGCCATGTCCAGTCTGTGTGACTATCAGATGCCAGGCTCTAGAAAATATCCCTGAATCTAAAGACATCCTTAACTACCATCTCAAGTATGATCTAGTCCCTACAAGGACCATTTGTACCTGGGTATCTCAGAGACAGGCCCAGAGAAGGAAAAATACTTACGCTCTGAGCCTAAGGCTGGCAGCGTTCATTACAGGTCCCAGACCAAGCCACTGGACTGATCTCTGGGCATGAAGAGGGAACGGGAGCAACTGAGGGGAAGTCATCTCCAGACATGGCTCCTAAGAGCCTGGGGCCAAAGGAGCTCTGCCAAACTCCTGAAGAAAGGAAGGGCTGATCCCTGTAACGAGGGACTCCCCTTCAGCTAATGCCGGAGGTCTCCCCAGACTCTGAAATAACCCTGACACAGCAGAGGGAAGGCAGACCTATGACAGGCCCAGGCAGCTAACCAGAAAATGCTATTTGTGTCCTGGCAGGGAACAGCCAAATCCATAAGCTTCAGAAATGCAAGGTGCTTTGAAGCCAAAGGTTCATTTATATTGTGGTTCTCAAACATCAATAAAATCAAGTTCATCCTGAATGGTTTAAAATGAAGATTCTTAGGCCCTCAGGATTGTGATTCAGTAATTATTTGGTAAAGCCCAAGTGCTTACATTTTTTTAAAGGGAAACCAGTAATTCTGATCTAAGGAGTCCATGGAGTACATATTTAGAAAGTTTCCAGGGGCAGTAAGGCTTCAGATGCAGAGAGAGGCATGGATAAGGTGAATTCCTCTTTCCCAGCCTCCACTGAGATAAAAGCAGAGGCTTCCAGTTACCATTTATTGAGTCTTTCTCTATGCAAGATACTATGCTAAACCCTTTACATAGATTATTTAATCCTTATAACTCAACTCTGTTATGCTCATTTACATATGTGAATTCCAAAGTTCAGAGAAAATAAGTAACTTGCCCAAGATCCCTCAGCTGTGAGTAGCAGAGCCAGGACTGGAACCCAGGTCTGAATCCAGAGCCTGTTTTTAACTAATATGCCCATGATTTTTTTTTTTTTTTTTTTTTTTTTTTTGAGATGGGGTCTCACTCTGTCACCCAGGCTGGAGTGCAGTGGCACAATCTCGGCTCACTGCAAGCTCCGCCTCCTGGGTTCACACCATTCTCCTGCCTCAGCCTCACAAGTAGCTGGGACTACAGGTGCCCGCCACCATGCCCGGCTAATTTTTTTTTTGTATTTTTAGTAGAGGCGGTGTTTCACCATGTTAGCCAGGATGGTCTCGATCTCCTGACCTTGTGATCTGCCCGCCTCGGCCTCCCAAAGTGCTGAGATTACAGGCGTGAGCCACCGTGCCCAGACAATTTTCAAGAGTTTCTGTGCCTGGTACCTGATGACAGCAAATAAAAGGCTATGAAGCCACATGCCCTCTGCAGCTGGGTTGGGGAAGAACGTCCAGGAGCCACAGTGTATGTAGACAACCACCTCAGGAGACGAAGCAGACAATCAAGCAGGCCCAAAGGTCCAGCATCAAGCCAGATAGAAGAACTATGGATGGATGGACTAATGACCTAAGGATTACAATCCTGGAGTGCAGAAGGAGCAGAGAAAAGAGATGAAAGATGTTGGGAATGAGAGATGGACAAAAAGGGCTAAAGGAACTGGCTGATCTCAGGGAAATCAATGAAATGCCACGGAAAGCTTTTGATCAGCACAGGTCCAAGGCCCCTGGGTTCTATGGCTTCTGCTGTTAGTCTTGCATTTATACTGTTCAATTGATAAGAAAAATAATGAGTTGATGCATCAGAATCAATACCAACTTTGGATAGTGCCCAGGAACCATTGTAGAATATTAGATGCTCATCCACTAAAGGGGCATAACAATAGCACGTAACCTCATAGAGTTATGTACAGTGAGAATTCAATGAGATCACTTGAGTACAGTGTTTAGCATAATGCAGGACACACAGGAGTCAGACAAATGTGAGCTGCTATGATCATTAATTATATAATTATTACTATACCTATGTTCACTAAGTAACCACTGTGGCATCTTGTTTGTTTGTGAAAGACATTGAGGTCAAATGTCTCTATGGACTGTGGCTTTTTCTCTCCAGAAGAAGCTTTTGTTAAGGGTGTTTCCTTTTTTCTCACAACTTGAGTGAAAAGTCACATCCCCAAAGATATCCACAATTTCATCAAACCCAACTTTTTAGTTTTCCCTTCACCTTTAGTTCTAATATTATCCCAAAAAACAACTGAATACAACTGTTTTATCCAAATTTATTCTCAGGGAAAAAGAAAGTAGTGGCTCTACGCAACTTTTTCATTCACCAACCACCTTTCCATGCATCAGAACCTATGCTGTGATTGTTAGCTGAACTTCAATAGTTTCCACCTACTTAAGAGAGATGCCTCAAACAAATTAACTTTATTTTCAGACAACAGGTCCAAGAAGACTTCACAGCTCAATCATGACGAACATGTGGCTGTTTCCTCACAGCCAGGAACCCTCGGTATTAGAAGAAAACTCCAACCCCCCACACCATCATCTAGCCTCTTTTCTCACTGTGAAGAACTGATGAGACAGAATTCCTGAGAAGGGAACATTTAGGTAATCTGGGATAGAAGGGCATGGAAGGACTGGACAAACTAAGCCTCCCCATGAAGGAAGGGAAAAGAATATTACAAAACAGACTAACAGAAAACAAGACCCATCAGTATCTTCAGGATAAACAAGAGGCCACTCTAGATGCTCTGATTAAAGGTTGTCCATGCCTACAGAGGCGGAGGATAAATCTAAGAAACAGAAATGTATAACCAGCCCAATGCTTCCATACTCTGCATTAGGTCAGTGTGAACATGGCTTTGCTCCCAATGGTCAGACCTGACATGGGTCCTTCTGAAGATGGTGGGTCAGGTATATCCCAGCCACCCTCACCAGAGAATACATCTATGACAAACCCAAATTCCTAATCCTGAAGTACTTTGAGCCACTCTACATTGTGGCCACTCAATAATAGAATAAATTTGTGAAAAAGCTGCATGTTTTAATTTAGGAAATGAGTAGAAGTTCACAAGCAACCCAGAATAGGTGCCAGCAGTTTGCTCCAGTGGGCCACACCACAGCAGCAGCTCAGGCTCTGCAGAATCACTGTGTCCAGTGCTTCCTGAGATGTTCTTTCAGCTGAGGAATGGAAGGCAGCAGCTGCTGGCACTCATGACAACGAAGGGGCAGCTTCAAGAGCTCAGGCATCCCATCTCGGACAGTTACTCTACCAGCCTCTTGTACCATCTCGATCACAGCTGCAGGCAAGGAAGAAAAGTCAAATCCCAGCTACTCTGGAAAACCAATATGAGATACCAAAAAAAAAAAAAAAAAATCAAAAACGTGACTCCAATCAGTATGCCAGGCCAGGTATTCTACAGCTCCGTAAGCTTAGTTTAGACTTCCCTCAGGCAAAATGAGCTTAATCAGATTATAAATATGAGCAACCCACCTTTGAAATAATACACTCCTTCAGGACACACTCTAGGCAATCCATGTTACTCTGTCAAGAGCTCATCAGAGTGCTTTACCTCTGGTTGGCCCTTGGTAAATGCCAGCTGCCATTGTGAACACCCCATCAATGCTTAAGTTCTTACACACCAGGAAATGCTTTCCTGGTGTGTAAGAAAGCATCACACACCAGAAAATGCTTTCTTCTACATATACACAGGGTTCCCCCTGCTAATTCACCACTCCTGACAGGAGGCAGCCCCAAAGCTCCCACCCAACTGATGGCAGAAGAGACAAAGAATTGTCCACAGCTTTCTTATCCATGAACTCCACTAATTCTCACGGCAGCCTTTAAGTCCCCTTTTGTCACAATAAAACACTGACCCTGACATAATAGCTTTCTAGGTCCCCCAAGAAGACAACTCACAGCAAAGTGGCAATAATACTACAATCCAAATAATCCAGTTTCTTTTCACAGGGCTCGCTTTATAGGGAACACAAAGTTGTACATAGGTTTTTGAGGTCAGACTGTTATTCAGGGAAACAACCAAATCAAATATAAGAACAGCTCAGAAAATGAAACAAATGTGAAAACCAAGGAACACTGTTTACCTTGTGATTCTAGGAAGTATTCTGTATTGAAAGAATTCCAATGTTTTTTGTTTTTAAGGCAAGGAGAATCAAAATCCTGGCTGATCACATGAAGATGTACATGGCTAGTTGAAAGAAAAAAAAACTGAGCATTAAACTCTTTAACAACTATGGCTTAATCAAAATGACAAAGAGTATGAGTACATTGTATATTCATACTATTGAATACTCTTTGAATATTCATACTATTGAAGTGATAGTGTGTCCATTTAATTCAATTGATTCATTCATTTACTTAAGAATATTTAATGCTCAATAAGTATGTACTATGGCCAAACACTGTTCCAGGCACTGAGACTTTAGCAAGAAACAAAATGGGAAAAGCCTCTGCCCTTATAGAAATTGTACGCTAATGAGGAAAGACAAATAATAAATAAGCAAACAAATAAACAAACAAAAAAAAACTTAAAGAATTAACATTGCCAAGAAAAAATAAACAAGGAAAATGGGATAGAGTGCCCAGGGGTAGAAGCTGCCCTCTTTAGTTAACAGTGTTCAGGGAAAGCATCTCCCGGGAAGTGATTTGAACGGAGACAGCACCCAAGCAAGCTAGGTCTGTGGGAAGAGTGTCTCAGAAAGTGAGGAGGCCAAGAGCAGGGGCCCTGAGATGAGGAAAAGCTCAGTGCAACCAAGAAAGAGAAAGAAGGTAATATGGCCCAAATGTATGGCCTGAATTGTTGGAGCCAAGCAGCAGAAACGAGGCAGGAGCCAGGTCATAAAGCCTCTTAAAGGTGACAAAGGGTTTGCATTCTATTCTGAATCTACTGGGAAGCCATTGAAGGATTTTCAGCCGAAGAGTGCTACTATCTGATTTATACTCTTTTTTTTTGTTAACAATAAAAATTGAATTATAAAATGGACCACAATTTAAAAGTGGGCCTATTTTAATTTTATTATTCTTAAATTCATTCTTTTGAAAATGCAACCAGGTGCGGCGGCTCACGCCTGTAATCCCAGCACTTTGGGAGGCCGAGGCAGGTGGATCACTTGAGGTCAGGAGTTCAAGAACAGCCTGCCCAACATGGTGAAACTAACTACTAAAAATACAAAAAACTAACTGGGCGTGGTGGCAGGTGCCTGTAATCCCAGCTACTTGGGAGGCTGAGGCAGGAGAATCACTTGAACCTAGGAGGTGGAGGTTGCAGTGAGCTGAGATCATGCTACTGCACTCCAACCTGGGTGACAAAGTTAGACTCCATCACTAAAAAAAGAAGAAAAAGAAAAAGAAAATGCACTTTATTTTTGAAATGATAAAAGATTTAACTATGAGCTGACAAAGTAGAGGTCGGCTGACATTAGTGGGTCAACTCTTCATGTAGATATTTAAATGCTGTTTTTTCTGTATTACATCAAAATGATTTGCAATAGGAAATTGGAAAAGGGGAGCAAAGCAGAGTGCAAAGCATATACTGAGGTCTTTCCATGGGTATCTGATAGAATGCAGATTCAGCACAATAAAATGTAGACTGCAGCAGTGGCCTGTAAGTGTACTCCAAGCGTACCGTAAGAACCTATGTAAAAACCATTTTTTTCTTATTCCTAACAGAAAAACAAATTTTGTTTTGTTTAAACAATAAAATGTAATGGAAAGATCTGTACTGTAAAACTACTTGCTATAAACTATCACAAGGACAGAAAACCAAACACTGCATGTTCTCACTCATAGGTGGGAACTAAACAATGAGATCACTTGGACACAGGGCAGGGAACATCACATACCGGGGCCTGTCAGGGGGGTGGGGGGCTCGGGGAGGGACAACATTAAGAGAAATACCTAATGTAAATGATGAGTTGATGGGCGCAGCAAACCAACATGGCACATGTATACCTATGTATCAAACCTGCCTGTTGTGCACATGGACCCTAGAACTTGAGTATAATAAAAAAAAATAAAAACTACTTGCTGTAGCCCATGTGTTCAGTTTGTTCAACAACCTCACTCACACATGATGAATTACATGAATAGAAAGTCACCAAATAAGACTCAAGACAAAAAAATTATCTATCAACCTCCATATGAAAAGACCACAGCTTTAATGATTTATACAATCCTTAAGCTTAATATCTGGTCAGTATAGGTTTCCAAATCAAAATCAAGTCATAAGCTGTTACAATAACTGCATTATACTAACATTTTCTTTCCAGTATTTCTTCCTATGAGGGAAAAAAATCATCAGAAGCTTTCACTCTTGAAAAGCGTCCTAAACTAAAACAGTGTTCTTCTCCAAAACGAAAATACTCTACAAACAGTAAATAAAAGCTAAGCTAATTTCAACAGTCATATTTCCAAAAGTAAAATCTATTAAGTACAATACACCTGCACAAGAAATTACAAGAAATGATTACAGTTACAGATGCAAAATAACATCTAATTATCCCAGGCTTGTGAACATAATAATTAAAATCAAATTCATATGCTAGTCCAAATATTATGTACAATTTAGATAAGCTGGTCAAGTATTATTTGAATATACACCATATTTGTTAAACCTAAAATTATATTACCTTTTCTTGTCCTTTAATATTTGTAGATACACGCCAATATGAAAAAAAATGTAATTTCCATTTATGTATTAACAGAGAATTTCTACTGCACATGTTTTAAACCGTTAAAAAATAAAAAAGTCAAGGTACATTTTCACTTAAGAGATAAAAATAAATTACCAGAATTTTAATTGATAAAAGTTTCATATCAATTTATAAAAATGACCCAAGCACGTGGCTCATACCTGTAATCCCAGCTACTCAGGAGGCTGATGCAGGTGGATCACTTGAGGTCAGGAGTTCAACATTGGCCTGAGCAACATAGTGAGACCCTCATCTCTAAAAAATTGTTTTAATCAGCCAGGCATGGTGGCACACCCATAGCCCCAGCTACTCGGGAGGCTGAGGCAAAAGGATACCTGGAGCCGAGGAGTTCAAGGCCGCAGTGAGCTATGATCTTGACACTGTACTCCAGACTGGGAGAGAGGGTGAGACTCCCATCTCTTAAAACAAAAACGAAAACAAAAAATGAATAAAAAAATTCATTTATAAAAATGGGGGGGAAAAAACCTGGGTGCAGTGGCTCACACCTGTAATCCCAGTACTTTGGGGGGCCAAGGCAGGTGGATCATTTGAGGCCAGGAGTTCAAGACCAGCCTGGCCAATATGACAAAACCCCATCTCTACTAAAAATACAAAAATTAGCTGGGCGTGGTGGCGCATGCCTGTAATCCCAGCTACTCGGACAGCTGAGGCATGAGACTAGCTTGAACCCAGGAGGCAGGGGTTTCAGGGAGCTGAGATTGCACCACTGCACTCCAGCCTGGGCAACAGAGTGAGACTCTGTCTCAAAAAAGAAAAAGAAAAAAAAAACGGAAACAGATACCATATAATTATCATATGGTCTCTGATATAAGAAGGTATTTAAAGAAGGGGCATTAGGTCAAAAACAAGGACTAACCCAAGTGTGTTGCTTTAAAAATCTAATTTGTAGGAAAACTAGTTGCTTGGCCAGTTTTAAATCTAATTACAAAATCCATCCTTTTTTGTTTTTTGAAAAGCATAACAAATTTATTTAATCCAAGTTTTATGTGACACAGGAGCCTTCCAAATGAAGATGCAAAGATACGGGGAAAACTATCCATTTTTACACTTGGGTTTGTTGAAGAATGGAAAGCCATGTAGAACCACTACTGCTTCAAAAGGGTATACGACTTAATGAGAATAGACTGAGTGGGGAAACTCAGCAAGGCCTGTCTGTCCAGATTCTTCTTAACCTCTTTGTGCAGCATTCCTTCTTCCCAGGTATGGGAATGGCAGTCTTATGACCTACCATCAAACAAGGTAGATCAGGGAATTTCTTTATAGCCAGGTCTACATAGAAAAGAAGGTTAGAGTAATATTTTGGGGTTTTTGGTTGGCTTTGAGGAAGAAGGTTCTAGTTTCTATAACCTGCCTTGAGAAAGAGGAATTATAGTTTCTATGGCTTGCTTAGGGGGAGAATGAGGGGCAAGAGACGGGAGCAGGAGAAGGTCAAGGAGAAATTTTGCTTCTGAGGCCTTTATTTGGGGTTATCATTTTCTAAGCCCCAGCAACACTATCTGTGAAATGGAAGTGAAGATACCTACTTTACAGGGTTGCTAAGATGATGAAATGAAAGAAATAAAGCTCAAGTGCAATTTCTGATAAATAATAGACAGCAGATTTTAAATGAGGTATCACCTGTCCCATAAACATTTATGGTATGTATCCTCCCACCTTCAATATCCATGGTGGGGGACAGGAGAGCAGGACAGGAAAAGGCTACAATTCTCCCTTAACTACAAGCCAGATGAGCACTGTTTCTGCTGACTCCACTTCCATGACCCACTTTCTTACAACAGTGGTTCGCAAACCCTAAAGCTCTATTGTTGATATTCACTTTTTGATCCATTTACTATGATTGGGCTTCTGTCCCATCACACTACTAAAAGCATATTTTTTTGGATATAACTTATGTTTTGCTAACTACCAAGTTGGTTCTCCTTTTTTTCTATCATTAATATATTTAATATAGGTAACTTTTTAAAACTTTTAGGTTCAGGGATCCATGTGCAGGTTTGCTATATAGGTAAATTGTATGTCACAGGAGTTTGCTATACAGATTGTTTCGCCACCCAGGTAATAAGCATAGTACCCCATAGGCAGTTTTTCAATCCTCCCCCACCTCCCTCCCGCCACTGTCAAATAGGCCCTAGTGTCTGTCATTCCCTGCTTTGTGTCCATGTGTGCTCCGTATTTAGCTCCCATTTATAAGTGAGAACATGTGGTATTTGGTTTTCTGCTCCTGTGTTAGTTCACTTAGGATAACGGCCTACAGCTCCATCCATGTTGCTGCAGAGGACATGTTCTCGTTCTTTTCTATGGCTGTGTAGTATTCCATGGTGTATATGTACCACATTTTCTTCATCCAGTCTACTACTGACGGGCATCAATCATGGTTGATCCCATGTCTTTGCTACTGTGAATAGTGCTGCAATGAACATACAAAATCTAATTTCTTAATAGTCCAGATATTTTGGTAGTTATTCCAACTCAACAGAACTTCCACTGACGTCCACATTCATTACAGACAACGAATGTTATCAGTCCATCAGCACTACATTTGCACATGTGAACAAGCCACTCTGGGTTCCACCTGCCTTGGCCACCTAATGCTCTCTGATGACTTCTTTGGTCAAGTTTTTCCATATCTCTCTGAGCCCATCACTAGCCATTTCCTCTGCCATCATTCTAGCAAATAAGACAGGAGGAATATTCTCACATGGTACATTTTCCCTTAAATTTGGATTCTTTGCTCTTTAAGATTTGATATCCTACTTCATACTCTACTTTTGCATTTCGTACCTATATTCCTTAATTTCTTGATATACAGCCTCCTCAATTTGAGATCCTAATTCTTCCTCACCAGCTCCAATAGCAGTGTAGCCATCTCCTGTTTGGAGAGCTGCAGCAAGCACCTCGCAACACTTTAACCAAAGAGAGTCAGAAGTGCTTCGTTCCTGAATAAAAGATGAAACACGAGTATCTAGAGCATTTGTCTCACCCTCTCTGCTGCTTGCACTGCCACCGGAGCTACTTTCTTCTCTCGCTTCAGAGTTATTCTGCAATGTAACTGCAGGTTCTTTTTTCTTTTCTTCAGGGTCTTTCTCGGTTGATAGTAACTTTTTCCCAGATTTCATGACAGACTGTTAAAGATGTAACTTCTTCATCTTTATGCTGCTTGCCATTAGCATTAACTGATATTCTGATTCTTCTGGGGGCTGTAATAATTCCATGGTCATGGGAATATTTTTAAGCTCCTTTGGCAAATCCAATGCTCCAGCTGTATTCTTCTGCACCATCTTGTCCATCTACTTGGCAATGGGAACCACCTTGTCCAATGTGGCTCTGGCAGGTCTTCCCCACACCCAGCCAGCTGGAGGTGAGAAGTGTGTAAAACTGAGGTGGAAAGGATGGCAAGAAACAAGCCTCAGTGGTCCTGACAGGCTGAGCCAGGCTCTTCCTCACAAACCAAGCCCACAGGGGCAACCTGATTTACATGTTTAAAAGATCACTCTGACTGTTGTGTGAAGAAAGGACGGATAGGGAGGAACATGGAGAAACCAGTTAAGGAGGCTGCTACAGCAGTCTAGGCCAGAAAATCACAGCCTACACTAGAGCTGAGCTGTAGCAGCTGAGATGTCAACAAGCAATCCTACTTTGAATGCATTTTGGAATAGAACAAACAGAACTTATTAATGGGCTGCATGTTGCTTTGGGAGAGTGTTACTTACTGAGATAAAGAAGGTTAGGTGAAAAAGCAGGTTTGGGGAAGAAAATCAGGAATTCTCTTTTGGACTTGTTAAACCAAGTAGAATGCCTTTTTGTATAACAGCTTTCACTCTTATAATCAGTAATATTTCACGTTCTCCCAATAAATAATCAAAATCAATCAACATGTGTGCAGAATCCAAAATGAAATATAAGCACTAATAAATAAGCATAGCTGTATTACAAATGAATGAGGAAACCACACTAAATGGATTGAGGAAGAAAATATATTAACTATACTATAGTAACCTAGCTTTGGAGAACAGTGTTTTGACTAGATACGATAAGGCTAAAAACAAAAAGAACTATAGGCAAGTACTGTACTCTAGTTAGTAAATGTCCTTCTCACAGGGGTATGGGTTAGGAATCCTGTAACTATTTTATGGGTACACTAGGACTGAACAAGTAAATGAATTTATTGTAACTAATGAGAGCCAGGTTTCTCACTGTTGGAGAAAGTAGTTACAAAAAAGGAAAAGGGAAACAAGAATGAAACTTAGAGTTGGAATGGTGTCAGAGATATCAGTATGAACTCATGGTTTTTCACATACAAATAAAGGTAGATAAACACAGAATTATAGGGGTGTGTATGTGTGTGTGTGTGTATGGCTTAGGATTCATACATGCATTTCTGGCTCTATGGCTGAGAGGACCTAGAAAGCAAGGACACCCTGGAATCAACCACTTCTCTCACAGAAACCTAGTGCCCAAGAAGACCTAGGGCTCTTTGGAGAAGTGGTTCATTCCAGATAAGCCTGGAACATCTTGTGGGGCCAGAAAATAAATTGCCCAAAAGATGTTGAAGGCGTATCTAAGTGACACAAGAGCTGACCTAAAGGAGCTTTCAATAACCAAAGCTGAACAATTTGAGCAACAAAATAATTATAGTATTGAATTATAACCTATAGAATAAACATCCATGAGTCCATACCATTAAATGATTGAATAAAGAACTAATGAGAAAGACAGAACAGCGCTTTCACACAGAATAATTTCAACTAATAAGTTAGGTGAAGGAAGTATAAAGTCACCATAGAGTAAATACCAATACAATAACTATTACAGGCAAGATGCACCAATAGATGCTAAAATCATTGGGTGCGAGTTTGAGGAGAAATAGTAGTATAGTCTCAAAATATCTAACCCAAAATATTCATGAATTAAAAAAAAAAAAACAGTAATTTTGAAGGTGAAAACCTGGCAGACACCACCTTAACAAAATGATCAAGGTTAACATCATCAGTAATAAACCATCTCAACATCATGCCCCCCCATATGACATATTGAGAAGGACACAATCAGAAATATCACTTCAGTGATTAAAAAAATGCATAACGTCAACCTAATCATGAAAAACAAAATTAGACAAACCCAAATTAAAAGACGTCCTAAAGACAATTAGCCAGTATTCATCAAAAGTGTCAAGGTCATGAAAGCCAGGAAAGTAGGAACTGTCACAGATTGAGGGAGACTAAGAAGAGAGAACAAATAAATGAAATGTGAGATTGGATTCTGGAGTAGAAAAAGAACAATACAGGAAAAATGGGTGAAATTCAAATAAGGTCTACAGTTTAGTAAGTTATCTAAAATAAGGTCTATAGTTTAGTTATCTACAGTTAGTATTATGAAAGGTCTTTGTTCTTTTTCATACTTAATTTTTTATATTTTCTTAATTGAAAACATTACTTTTACAATAGGAAAAATAATTTTACTTGTTTATCACCTTTTCCTTTCTAATATGTTCATTTATTCAAAACTACATCATACAGAGTAATATAAAAGGGTATATAAATAGCAACTTTGCTTATTGGCTCATTTTGCCTCCCATATATACCTACCACAGCTCTTGCTGTGAGCATTCTCCTTAGCACGACAACATTCACTGTAGGAAAAAGGTATGGGCATCACGATCACTACGTGAAAAGGGCTCAGTGGCCAAGGGCTCTGTTAGTCAGGGGCTCTGCATTAGGGAAACAGGATTATGGGTGACTTTCCCTCCTAAATTTTCAAATCAGCCTTTAACAATAAAAATATATTTATATTTTTAAAGTGAGGTACAACATACATCCACCCTATGACCTAACAATTCCATCTCCAAATATTTATTCTTTTTTTTTCTTCTTCTTTTTTGAGACAGAGTCTCACTCTGTTGCCCAGGCTGGAGTACAATGGCGTGATCATAGCTTACTGTAGCCTCAACCTCCTGGGCTCAAGTGATCCTTCCAACTCAACCTCCCAAGTAGCAGGTGTGCACCACCACCCTTGGCTAATTTTTTGTATTTTTTGTAGAGACAGGTTTTGCCATGTTGCCCAGACTGGGATCCCTAAATATTTACTCAAGGGGAAAAAAATAAATAAAGTACATATGTCTATGATATACACAATAACACACATGAATCTCAAAATTATGCTGACCCAAAAAAGCCAGACCAAAAAAGAGTATGCAATGTATGATTCCATTTATACATGGTAGCTCTAGAAGAGACAAAAACTATCTATGCTGAAGGAAATAAAAGCAATGCTTGAGGGAGGATTAACTGGAAAGGGGCACAAGGGAACTTTCTGGGATGAAAGGATAGACATCTTCTGTATCTTAATCAGAATGATAGTGAAAAGATTATACACGCTTATGAAAACTGATCAAACTATGCATCTTATTATGCACTTTATTGTATGTAAGTTATGCCTCAACTTAAAAGAATCAGTACTGACTAGGGAAAAATCTGGCACAAAGATTTCATTTGGTTCAAGTGGCCAGTAACCTAAGTCATAATTATTCACCTAAATAAAATGTGAGTGTTGGTAGTTAAAAAAAAATAAGCAGAGAAAATCCTGTCACATGCTACAACATGGATAAGACTTGAAGACATTATGTAAAGTAAAATAAGTAAGTAAATAAGTAAAATAAGCCAGTCACAAAAGGACAAATATGTCCTTGTATGATTCCTCTAATATGAGGTACCTAGAGTAGTCAAATTCACAGGGAAGGAAAGTACAATGGTGGTTGCCAGGAGTGGGAGGGGGAAATGGAGAGTTATTATTTAAGGTACAGAGTTTCAATTTGGGAAGAGAAAACAGTTCTGGAGATAGATGGTAGTAATGGTTGCATAGTAATATGAATATAGTAATGCCAATGAATTGTACACTTAAAGATGACTAAAATGTAAATTTTGTTATGTATATTATATCACAGTTTTTTAAAAACAAAATAAAAACTCTAAAATCTAGACTTATCATCTTATTGCTTAAATCAAAGAAATCACGGAGATCCACCTTGCTTGTATTCTTTGAAAGAAATCAGTCATTCCTTTCTGAATCCTTCTGGGCATAAGCCACAGGAAAACAAATTCTATACTTTTCTCTCATTTTATTTTCAAATCCTGGATCTACTACGCTGTCATTACAGAAGTCTATGATGTTTGTTTCCTTCAGAGTAATGGTCCTTAATCATTCTGGGGTTATAGACGCTTTTGAAGAATCTGATAAAAGCCACTGACCACAATTCTTTATCTGAGGATAATGAAGCTGCTTCATCTAGTTCATATATTAGGCTCTCGAAGATTTATATTTTGAGAGGAACAAAGAACCAAATATGACTGAATTATAGGCAGAAGTGGGAACTCAAAGCTTGCATGCAAGTCAGGCAGAGAGGTGGAAGCTTCAGCCCACCTGCTTTGGAAAAACTCCATCCCACTTCCCTGGGTCTCAGTGCAATATGTGCCCTCAGCAAGCCCAGGCTGAATCTATCTGCCCACCTGGACAGAACCAGGAGCCAGCAGCACTACCCACCTGGCTTACCTCATACTCGGAATGGCGTGGTAGCCCAATCGGAAGCGGAGTTTGCTGGACCCAGCAAAATCTACAATCACCTTTTCCCCCACAGTGTGCATATGCTTAAGGAGTTCAAGGTGTTCCCTGGCCACAGCCTTCAGACTGGAAATGGAGGTCCACGGTAAGACCAGCCAATGGTAACGGGCCTTTGGGTATTTATCCTTTATCACCACCACCTGCTCATCTTTGTAAACCTAGCAGAGGGATACAAGAGAAGGAAACAGACATCTACTAAGAATCTTCTGTGTGCCTGGTTGTTATATTCACTAAGTCACTTAATTCCCACAGTCTTGTGCAAATGGTTTTAATAGCCCAGTTTTGAGAGAGGAGAGCACTGAAATTCAGACAGGTTGAGTGTCTTGCACAAGTCATAGTTCCTAAGAGGGAAATCTAGGATTCCAACTCAGATGTGGTTGACTCCAGAGTCTGTTTTCAACCACCACACTACACAGAATACACAGAAGATGCACAGTACAAAATAGTTCCCAAGAATGTGATGTAAAATCTCTGTAGACATAAATTCAAAAGCATCCTTCTCCACTCCAACATGGCAGACTGTGTGACACGTACACGTGGGTTCCAGTGAGCCCTATTAGACCTGCCCCTTGTCAACAAGGAATATAATTGAAGTGGGACTCAAAGGCTCCTCAAGGATGATGCCTGTTTTTTTTTTTTTTTTTTTTTTTTTGAGATGGAGTTTCGCTCTTGTTGCCCAGGCTGGAGTACAATGGTGCAATCTCAGCTCACCGCAACCTCCACCTCCCGGATTCAAGTGATTCTCCTGCCTCAGCCTCTCGAGTAGCTGAGATTACAGGCATGCACCACCATGCCCAGCTAATTTTTTGTATTTTTAGTAGAGACAGGGTTTCTCCATGTTGGTCAGGCTGATCTCGAACTCCTGACCTCAGGTGATCCTCCCGTCTCGGCCTCCCAAAGTGCTGGGATTACAGGGATGTCTGACTGTTAATGCCAGGGCAGCACAGTACTACTGTCACAGTGTATTATCTCTGATGCTCCCCTGAAAGGAACCATACTAAGGTTAATGCAACTTCCCTTAAAGTACCCAGAAGTTTAAAAGGCACAAGGCAGAGGGGATATTCATTTGAAGAACTCAGCTTTCTCTCCAAACAATGACAGCTGCTACTTTATTGCCAATGTGAAAAGCCTCTTGTTCTCACAGAACAGCCCAATAAAATGAATCTCATTCAGAAAGACTGATATCCTTTGATTTCATTTGTAATTAAGACCTCTGTGGAGTGGTCATTTACAACATGAAATGTACTGAAATTCCAAAATTGTATTCTGACCTGCATTTTGGGGTCCTGCATAGAAATCTTCAAGCCTTGACTCCAGTGGCCCAGGGATTCCTAAAAAAAAAACAAAAAAAAAAACAAAAAAAAAAAAAAACAAGCAATGTAAATTACAAATGCCAATAATTAAATTTGGCAACAGTTAATACTGTGTGATAGCACAACTAAACTTGGAAATAAGCTTAGTTTTTGAGAATTAAACAAGATTCACTTGACTCTGCTTCACTCCATTGCCTTCCTATATTCTCTTTTTTTTTGAGACAAAGTCTCACTCTGTCTCACCCAAGCTGGAGTGCAGCGGCGTGATCACTGCAACCTCCGAAGTGATTCTCCTGCCTCAGCCTCCCAAGTAGCTGGGATTACAGGTGCCCACCACCACGCCCAGCTAACTTTTGTATTTTTTAGTAGAGACGGAGTTTCACCAGGTTGGCCATGCTGGTCTTGAACTCCTCACCTCAGGTGATCCACTGGCCTCCACCTCCCCAAGTGCTGGGATTACAGGCGTGAGCCACCACACCCGACCCTATATTCTTTCTTTTTTTTTTTGAGATGGGGTTTCGCTCTTGTTGCCCAGGCTGGAGTACAATGGCGTGATCTCGGCTCACTGCAACCTCTGCCTCCCGGGTTCAAGCGATGCTCCTGCCCAGCCTCTGGAGTTGCTGGGATTATAGGCATGCACCACCACGCCCAGCTAATTTTGTATTTTTAGTAGAGATTAGGTTTTGCCATGTTGGTCAGGCTGGTCTCGAACTCCTGACCTCAGGTGATCTGCCCATCTCGGCCTCCCAAAGTGCTGGGATTACAGGCGTGAGCCAGCACACCCAGCTGTTTTTTATTATTGTTGTTGTTTTTTGAGATGGAGTCTCGCTCTGTCGCCCAGGCTGGAGTGCAGTGGTGCAATCTCAGCTCACTGCAACCTCCGCCTTCCAGGTTCAAGCAATCCTCCCGCCTCAGCCTCCCGAGTAGCTGGGATTACAAGCATGTGTGTACCACCAGGCCCAGCTAATTTTTGTATTTTTAGTAGACATGGAGTTTCACAATGTTTGCCAGGCAGGTCTCAAACTCCTGACCCTCAAGTGATCTGCCCACCTCGGCCTCCCAAAGCGCTGAGATTACAGGCGTGAACCACTGCACCCAGCCAGCCTTCCTATATTCACAGCTGGCTGTTCTAAATGAAGGCGAGAAATGCCAGAGTATGAGTCATACCTTCTTTGCCCTCTCTCACTGCAGCTACAGCCTGACCAATTCTCCACTTTGACATCAGCATATGAATTACATGATCTATGAAAACCTTCTATAGATGCATAAACAACTGATCCACTTTAGTTGTTCAATGTTAAGTACACACTGCCATTATTGTTGTACCTTCAGGTGGCTTACCTCAGGAATTTAAGAAAAAAGCACATAAAGGAACATTCATCCAAATGATTTTCACGCCACAAACAAGTGACTCTTTCATCATGGTTAATAACCCCTCACGCATTTCTGAACTTTAAAGTGTACAAAACAATTAAGCAGTCATTATATTTCATTTCTTCTCCACATCATCTACCAATCACACTACCCTCACCTTTTTGATAGGTGCATCTTTTCCCTTCTTTAGGGGCACAGAGCATTGGCCAGAGTTGCTCCCAGGTTCCAGCCCTGTCCCAGCCTCAGCTTCCTGAGCAGCATCCCTTTCTATAGAATCACTGTTGCCTGATCTCTTTCTCTTCCTGTGTGTTTCCAGGCCAGGGTTCTTTGCCTCTTCCTCAAACTCTACAATATATGGATAAAGTTCATTCACCATGTGGAGAACCTGGCCAGGCTGCAGCTTCACCTCTTGGTCCTTCCCAATTACGACTGAGTCAATGCTGGTGGGATTGACTCCTACCTATGGAATAAACAATCAGAAAATAATTATAATAATAGCAACAGCACCTACAGTAAGATAGCCACTGCTATGTTAACCACTTACTATATGCCAAGCACCTTGCCTTATGTTCACCTATATTACTCCATCACTTCCATACATGACAGAGAAGCCTTCACTGGCTGGCACAGACACTCTAAAGTCAACAGCATAAGAAAATCATCGAGTATAAAATTCCAAGTTATAAATACACCTACCTGCTTTACCTTGACATATCCCTTGTTACACTCTGCTTTCAACTGTACTGAAAGAGATTGGAAAAAGTTAAACACAAATGCAACAAAGAACCAGGCACTTGCTCCTATCTTCCCTAAAGAAAACAAGCTTCACTACAGGCGGCAGCTGAACAGGTGGTGTTTCCTTAAAGGCCTATTAGCAATCACCTGTTATTGCAGGTGGCTGGAGCTCCAAATCCTACCAATTTCTAAAGGTTTAAATCCTTCCATAAAATGTCCAACAGCGTACATACTCCCTTAGCTATTGCCAAGATCCCTATGAGGCAGCTTCAATTAATCCCCACAAGTTTCCCTATTCCAGAACCCCTGGCCTGCTCATGATCACAGACTCTGCCGCCAGAAAAGAAGACCTGTTTCTCCCAGCCTGGGCAGCATGGCAATACCCCGTCTCTACAAAAAAATACAAAAATTAGCCAGGTGTGGTGGCACATGCCTGTAGTCCCAGCTACTTGGGAGACTGAGGTGGGAGAATCACTTGAGCCCCAGGAGGTGGAGGTTGCAGTGAGTCAAGATCGCACCACTACACTCCAGCCTGGGCAACAGAGTGAGACCCTATCTCAGGAGGAAAAAAAAAAAAAAAAAAAAAAAAAAAGATCCATTTCTCACACGAACTCTTGACCAAGGATTAAATCAGGCTTCCACTATTATTTTGGAAAAACAACAACTATTAGATGCTTTAAAAGATAAAACAGTAAAAGACACATTCCTGGAAAACAGAAACTCAGGTGGCTTTGGGTAGAAGGAGTGGAAAGAATGTTCTAGAAAGATGATTGCAGAGACAGAACAATCTGAGCATGTGTGAGAAGTGGTAACATTAAGCATTCCTGTTCTGATAAATGAACAAGGTATCTGGAGTTGAGACAGGGAGGAAAGAAGAACCACCATAGCTGCTCCCCAGAGAGGACAGGGTGCCACATACATGCCCCTTCAGTTGCTGTTGTGAGGAAGGGAACAGAGAGAGAAGCAGCCACTGCTTCTGCATCTTGGGCCTACTCAGCTCAAGCATGGCTTTGTATCCCTCCACTTAGATTAACTCATATAGGAAAGATCATAATCAGTGCTGCAGATGCCAACTCTCTAAGTTCAGAACCCTTGGGAAACCTTGCTGTGGGGGGGTCACACTCCAGCCAGCAGTGTGCATGTTTACAGGAAAAAACAAGGTACATGGTAAGGATTTTTTTCTGAGGGCAAGGACTTTCATGTTATTAAACCCTAAGACAAGTGCTAGATGCCACTGTCTCATAATACTTTGCGTGAAGCAATATGTAAAGGACGGCACTACCCCATTACTTCTCAGAAAGACATGGTTTCACCTGTAGACTCCAGAGTTTACATCTTGCTGCCCATTGAGCAATGTCCCTGGGGAAAGGAGGGCAGGACTCAATTCCACCATCCCATGGTAACAGTATGAACTTGACTGCTCCCAACCTTCACCCACCCTGCCTTGAACATTATCACATTGGGAGGGCAGAATCAGGAATAAATAGGGCCCTGGTGTTGGCTAAAAGAGCTCAGTTCCTGAGCTGTATTTTTGGCAGACAATAGATTTTCCATCAAGATCACCCAGAAAATATGCATCTTTGGTTATCACTATCCCACATAACCATAGTAATCTCCACATTTCTATGACCAGTTACCTTGCTGTCGAGAACATTTCTTATCAGTGATCTTGGTCTCTGGGCCACGCCCAATCACAACTGCTTCCAAATGTGGAAGTCTGATTCGCTGGTGCCGGCTGTCCTGTCTCACCAACCAGCACACCCGCATCATCACTCTAAGGGACAAAACAAAAGAATCACTAGAAAAACAGATCCACTAGCACGAGTCCTCCAGGGCCACACCCGGTGCCACCACGCATGTGATCTACCAGCTGTTCATCTTGAGGCAAGTGACTTCACCACCCTAGTCTCAATTTCCTCACCTATAAACCATGATAATGATGGGACTCAGGAGGCTGTTGTGAAAATTAAATGAGATAATGTGAGTAAGTATTTACCTCCCTGCCTGAATCATGCTAGGCAATCAAATATTTATTACACATTTATTTATTTATTTATTTTATTTATTTTGAGACAGAGTCTCGCTGTGTCCCCCAGGCTGGCACGCAGTGGCACAATCTCGGCTCACGGCAACCTCCACCTTCCGGGTTCAAGCAATTCTCCTGCCTTAGCCTCCTGAGTAGCTGGGATTACAGGCACCCGCCACCACACCTGGCTAATTTTTGTATTTTTAGTGGAGACAGGGTTTCACCATGTTGGCCAGGCTGGTCTCAAACTTCTGACCTCAGGTGATCCACCCGCCTCTGCCTCCCAAAGTGCTGGGATTACAAGCATAAGCCATCACACCTGGCCTGTTACACATGTATTGATATGTGCTGGACATTAGGCTACATATTGAAAGTCAAAGGATGAATAAAACAGGGACATTGTCCCTGTCCTTGAGGAGCCTGGAGTGCAGTAGGACAGACAGAATCATATACCAATATATACAATATAATGTGATAAACACTACAAGAAGAGAGTAACCAAATATGGCATTAGCCCAGTAAAAGGACTGACTGACTCTTGTGGAGAATATTTTAAAAGGCTTCACGAGGAAGGGATATTAATGTGCGGTTTTAAAGGATGAGAAGGAGTTTGCCTGCCAGAGAACTAAGGACATAAAAAAGATGTTCTCTAGTGCTTAGGTGTCTTTATGTGTCATAGGTTTTCCTTCCCTGTCATGACATACTGATGTTAGAACAATATATTTCACTCCCATCTGCCAGGAGACAGTCATAATAAATATGCAAATCTACAATTTCTTTACTTTTTTTTTTTTCTGAGACGGAGCTTCACTCTTGTTGCCCAGGCTGGAGTGCAATGGCACAATCTTGGCTCACTGCAACCTCTGCCTCCTGGGTTCAAGCGATTCTCCTGCCTCAGCCTCCCGAGTAGCTGGGATTATGGGCATGTGTCACCACAGTCAGCTAATTTTATATTTTTAGTAGAGACTAGGTTTCTCCATGTTGGTCAGTCTGGTCTCGACCTCCTGGCCTCAGGTGATCCGCCTGCCTCGGCCTCCCAAAGTGCTGGGATTACAGGCATGAGCCACCGTGCCCGGCCGCAAACCTACAATTTCTAAAGTGTGAATGTGACAATTTTGTGCAATACGCAACGCGCAAAACAATGGAAGTGCTGATATTCTTTTGAAAAACAACCCTTATGGCCATGTGGACTATCAGTAAAAGAGAAAGAGACAAGAAATTCAGAAGAGAGATGAGACCTCAACAATGGCCGAAGCAAAGGGGATGGAGAGCAAGAAGAGCCAGGAGAAATCTGGAAGACATACTTAATTACTGATGACATTTGGGGAATGACAAAGGAATAAAAGGACACACTGGCCAGGTGCGGTGTCTCAGGCCTGTAATCCCAGCACTTTGGGAGCCCAAGGCAGGCGGATCACGAGGTCAGGAGTTTGTGACCAGCCTAGCCAACGTGGTAAAACCCTATCTCTACTAAAAATACAAAAATTAGCCAGGTGTGGTGGCAGGTGCCTCCCACCTACTCGGGAGGCTGAGGCAGGAAAATTGCTTGAACCCAGGAGGCGGAGGTTGCAGTGAGCAGAGATCGCACCATTGTATTCCAGCCTGGGCGATAGGGCAAGGCTCCATCTCAAGAAAAAAAAAAAAAGGCGAGACACTCACCAAAGACTTCAAATTTGGAAGATGCCCATTAACAAAAATGAAAAATACACAAGGAGACATAATTTGGGGATAAAAAGGAAAGTGAAGAGAGAAGGACCAATTTCATATTGAAATGTAATTATTTTAAGTTGCCTGTGGAAGATCCAAGACTCAAGCTGTGATATGTGGGTATGAAGCTCAAGAGAGGGGAATGGACTAAATGCATATATTTGAGAGGCATCAACATGTCACAGAGGCTGAGGCAAAGAGAGAGAGGATGAGATCACCCAATGAGGTGAAACAGGGAATTATGGGCAGAGAGAGATTGCCTCTCTAGACTCCAGACTCTTATCAGTGCTCAAGCCTCTAACATGCCTCTCCCGGAAACCTGCCTATAGTCAAGGCAGCACATATGCCCTCTGCACAAGTTTCATGTCCATAAGCAAAGAAAAAAGAAACCCGATTTTTAAAAATCAGTTTCATTACCATCTGCAAAGACAAGACAATGCAAGGCAAAGTGAGCAAATGACAGCTGAGGAGATGCAAATTCAAATGAATAAGATTAGTGCGAGTATATGAGTACTAAGGAGGTAAAAAGTCCTGTATTAGCCAGTACAGGCTTCCAGAAACCTCCTGGTTAGAGATGGCTAGGAGCCAAGGGGACTGATAAAGAAGAAATGGAGTGGGAGGGGCCATTCCATTTTAAAAAGCACAAGTGACAACACAGATTTCGGCAATGGCAAGCCATAGGTCGGGGTAAAAGCAGACTTAGTTGGCTGAACCAGAGGAGCTGCCTCGGAGAGTCACAAAAAAAGACAGAGGTGTTGAAAGAATACTAGGCTGAAAAGTTTACATTTACCATAATCAAGAGGAGACAACTGCCAGGTTTTGAGCTTCACAGTAAGATAAAACAACAGCATCCAAAGAACACTTAACAGCTGTGTGTAGGCAGTCTAGCATGGAGAAATCCAGAGTCAGAGATTAGTGAGGAGGCTGTTAATATAACGTGAGCCAGAGAGGTCAAAAAGGCAGTTCAGCAAGTCTCTGTGAAGGAGCTGATGCAGGTGCACGAAGAGTCAGCTATAAATCTAAAATCCTAAACCTGGAGCCTCAAATGATGATGGTGTTATGGGCAGGTCCCACTTTTAAATGCTATGCGTTCCAAGGGGCATCTGTTTGCACTTGCTGGAAACAGATGAATGAGCAGGTAACAGACTGAGAAGTGAAATATGTCTTCACTAGGCATTGGGAAATATGTGGTGACTGACTACTCATACTGACAATAAGAGAAGCCAGAAGAGAACAGATTTTGAGAGCAGGGCAAGAGAGGAATCCAGTGAGCAGCAGAGAGCATGGCTGGCAGATGCAGGATAATAAGAACTACCCTTTCTGCCCTCCATCAATACAGATACTTTATTCCCCCAAAGTTCTCAAGTTATGGTGTTCCTTTTTACTACTTCCTGAGAAGCTGAAGTAGTGACTGCACAACAGTTATGTAACCAACCTTAAATAGTAACTTCACCCGTTTCAGCCTCCAATTCCAACTTTTAGAAATGGAGTGTTTTACAATATGGCAAGTGCAGAAGGATGGGTGTTCCTGAATCTTCAACCCAGTCCCTCCAGTAAAACTCCATAAACTGAAAACTATGACAATAGAGGTCATGTCCATTTTCGCTTATCAATATATCTGTAGCACCTAATCTAACACTTGGCATACAGCGGGCATACAATAAATATTTACAAGTGAATTATCAAATGCTATTTACTCTCTGCATGAGAGTAATAATTATCCCAGTTTTCTTTCCTGCCTTCTCTCTCCCTTCCTTCTATGGCTCTTCTTACGATGGAATGCTCTGTTCCTCTCTTTGGGCAATCCCATCCATTCTCACATCTAGGTGGATAAATCCCAATTCTCTATTTTTCACCTCTATATCTTTTTTTTTTTTTTTTTTTGAGACAGAGTTTTGCTGTTGCCCAGGCTGGAATGCAGTGGCGCAATCTCAGCTCACTGCAAACTCCACCTCATGGGTTCAAGCAATTCTCCTGCCTCAGCCTCCTGAGCAGCTGGGATTACAGGGGTGCATTACCACACCTGACTACTTTTTGTATTTTTAATAGAGACGGGGTTTCACCATGTTGGCCAGGCTGGTCTCGAACTCCTGATGTCAGGCGATCCGCCCACCTCGGCCTCCCAAAGTGCTGGGATTACAGGCGTGAGCCACCGCGCCCGGCCCAGCTCTATATCTTTCATTCTAGAGTTGAGGGGATCCGTCAGAAAGAAATTCTGATTATTCCTTAAAGAACTCAAGTGATCTGATAGACCACACAAGGCCAGAAATCAGGTAACCTCAAATAGTGCTGTCCAATAGAATTTTCTGCAATGACGGAAATGTTCTAAACCTGAACTGTCCAATAAATTACCCACCACGTGACAATCGAGCATCTAAAATGTAGCTAGTACAACAGAGAAACTACATTTTTTACTTAATAGTTAAATAACTCCACGTGGCTGGGGGGCTACCATAATATCCACCACAGTCCTGGAAACTTGCCCTGCCCTGATCCATCTCAAGTCCCTCAGGCCTGAAGTTAAGCTCATCATACTGTAACTCCACAGTGCTTATGTATTTCACCTCCCGTTCCTCTTCACAGAACTAGTCCCACTTGCCCATCCCTCTCTCTCCTCTCTTCCCCAAGAAACACATACATACTGGCATACCTGCTTTGTGCTCTGCTCTATTACATTTGAAAGATATTGCATTTTTTACAAATTGACAGTTTGTGGCAAATCTGTGTCAAGCAAGTCTTTCAGTGCCATTTTTCCAACAGCATGTGCTCACTTCAGGTCTCTGTGTCACATTTTAGTAATTCTCACAATATTTCAAACTTTTTCGTTATTATTATATCTGTTACAATGATCTGTGATCAGTGATCTTTGATCTTTGATGCTACTGGAAGAAAATGCCATCTAGGACTTTCACAGGTAGAGAGAAGTCAATGCCTGACTTCAAAGCTTCAAGGACAGGCTGTCTTGTTAGGGACTAATGCAGATGGAGACTTTAAACTGAAGCCAACGCTCATTTACCATTTCAGAAATCCTAAGGCCCTTAAGAATTATACTCAGTCCACTCTGCCTGTGCTCTATAAATGGAACAACAAAGCCTGGACGACAGCATGACTGACTGAATATTTTAAGATCTCTGTTAAGAACTACTGCTCATAAAAAAAAGATTCCTTTCAAAATATTACTGCTCATTGACAATGCACCCAAGATCCCTGATGGAGATATATTATACAGGGAGATAAATATTGTTTTCGTGCTTGATAAAACAACATCCATTCTGCAGCCCATGGATCAAGGAGTAATTCTGACTTTCAAGTGTTATTAATTAAGAAATACATTTCATAAGGGTATAGCTGCTATCAACTGTGATTCTTCTGATGGACCTGGAAAAAGTAAATTGAAAACCTTCTGAAAAGGATACAACCATTCTAGATGCCCTTAAGAACATCTGTAATTTATGGGAGGAGGTCAAAATATTAACATAAACAGGAGTTTGGAAAAAGTTGATTCCAACCCTTATGGATGACTTTCAGGGGTTCAAGACTTCAATGGAGGAAGTCACTCCCAATATAGCAGAAATAAAGAGAACTAAAATTATAAGTAGAACCTGAAGATGTGACTGAAATGCTGCAATCTCATGATCATACTTTAATGGATGAGGAGTTGCTTCTTATGGATGTGCAAAGAAAACGGTCTCTTGAGATGAAATCTATTCCTGATGAAGATGTAATGAACATTACCAAAACGCCAACAAAGGGCTGGGTGTTATGGCTCACACCTGTAATCCCAGCACTTTGGGAGGCCAAGGCGGGCGGATCACGAGGTCAGGAGATCGAGACCATCCTGGCTAACACGGTGAAACCCAGTCTCTACTAAAAATACAAAAAAATTAGCCGGGCGTGGTGGCGGGCACCTGTAGTCCCAGCTACTCTGGAGACTGAGGCAGGAGAATGGTGTGAATCCGGGAGGCGGAGCTTGCAGTGAACCGAGATCGCGCCACTGCACTCCAGCCTGGGCGACAGAGCGAGTCTCCGTCTCAAAAAAAAAAAAAAAAAGAAATTGCCACAGACATCCAAACCTTCAGCAACTATGACCCTGATCAGTCAGCAGCCACCAACGTCAAGGCAAGACCCCCCCTACATCAGCAAAAAGATCACAACTCACTGAAGGCTCAGGTGACTATTAGCAATTTTTAGCAAAGTACTTTTAATTAAGGTGTGTACATTGTTTGTTCAGCCATAATGCTATTGCACACTTAACAGACTACAGTATAGTATAAACATAACTTTTATATGCACTAAGAAACCAAAACATGCATATGTTCACTTTATTGCAGTTGTCTAGAACCAAACCCACGTCTCTGAGGTATGCCTGTATGTATACCCTTCAAGTATAATATACTGAACAGCATCTCCCAAATAAATCGCTCTTTTTTTTTTTTTTCTGAGACAGGGTCTCACTCTGTTGCCCAGATTGGGTGCAGGGCGTCATCACAGCTCACTGCAGCCTCAACTTCCTTGGGCTAAAGTGGTCCTCCAGCCTCAGCCTCTGGAGTAGCTGGGACTACAGACACACACCACCATGCCTTGCTAATTTATTTTATTTTGAGATGGGGTTCTCACTATGTTGCCTACACTGGTCTGAAACTCCTGGCCTCAAGCAATCCTCCTGTCTTGACCTCCCAAAGTGCACGGATTACAGGTAGGAGCCACACCTGGCCTAAGTCATTCTTAATATGGTCTCCTGGTATTCCTTTCTCCTAAAACCCAAATCCTATTTAACTTTCAAGCCTCACCTCCTCCCTAAAGCCTTCATTGAGCTGTCTTCTCTTCTCTACATCTTATTATTGGATGTGGTCAAACTACCTTCACAGTTCTCTGACTGTTTAATGTGGATGTAATTCTACTTTCCAAACAAGATTATAATCTCCCTGCTAACAGACTGCATCACTGCCTACGCATTCACAAAACAATGAGGAGGGGTTTCGGGAGATCACTGTCCTGGGCCAGGCCTAGTCTTTACTCCAGGATCCCCCGGTTTTCAGCACCTTTATCAAGTGCATACTATGTGCTAGGCACTATGCTAAATGTCTTACTTACATGGTCTCATTTTAACACTCACAACTCCATTCTGAGAAGAGAAAATTCAGGATGAGAAGATAAGTAACATGTTCAAGTCACATAGCCAATATGTGCCAGAACTACAATTTGAATTCCAAAGAATGGGTTCTTAACCACTGCATCATATAACTTTTGGCTTCACTCATTTGATCGTTCAGTCAAAATTACTACACTCCTGTGTATCTTGTGCCATTCTAGTACTGGGAATAAAGAGATAATATATGAGCCCAGCCTTCAAAAAACTCAGCCTTAGCCAGGCATGGTGGCACGTACCTGTAGTCCCTGCTACTTGGGAGACTGAGGTGGAAGGATTGCTTGAGCCTAGGGGTTCAAGTCCAGCTTGGGCAACACAGCAACACCTCATCTAAAAAAAATAAATCTTGTGGAGGAGAAAAACACAAACAATTATGTTAATAGTAGATGTGGTAAACATGATGATTGCTCTGTGCAAAGGGTGGAAGCACAATGCTAGAGTACCCAACCGAGATTGGGAGGAAGGAGGTGTCAGGAAAAAATTTCCTGGAGGAGGTGGACCTAAACTTTATAACTGAGTCCCATTTATAAACTGGGTTAATTAGGTGAAAAGGAGCAGCCTAATTAGGTGAGGAGCAGGAGGTGGAGAAAGGAAACAGGGAGAAGATTCCAAGCAAAGAGAACAAGGGCAAGTACACAAAGAAGAAATAGCACAGTACCCATGAAGATGCCATTCAGTGTTGCTGGAACCTAAAGCATGAGGCAGAGAAGAGGCTGGAGATACAGGCAGGGTTCAGAACAGGCAGAGCCCTGGCTGAGAAGCTCAAACTTTAGAACTTTCAATGGATTTTGCAAGCCAGTAGACAATGAATGTTTGCTGAATGAATTAGAGAAAAGAATGGATGAATGCATGGACAGATCTTTAAAGATTAAGCAGGAATTTGATACAGACTTGTTTCCAAAGACCATCTGGGGGTGGAGGGGAGTAATGTGAAGAAAAGATATGGGGGAACAGGCCTAGAAGCAGGGAAATCAGTTAGAAGGCCATGATATTGCAGGTAAAAGGACAACAGTAGAGATGGAGAAGACTGCACAGATTTGAGAGATGTTTAGGGGGTAAAACTATCAGGACTTAGTGATGAATGTGATAAGAGTTAAGTCCAGGAAAGACACTGAGTTCAGTTTCAGTCATCTGAATTTGAAGTGTCTGTGGGACTTGCAGGCAGAGCTGTCCAGGAGGATAGTCAGATGTGAGGGTAAAGCTCAGAGAGGTCTAAGCTGACAATTTCAATTTGGGGGCATGTAGGAGGTAGTTAAAACCAAGCCAGCTGATGGGTTCACTCAGGCAATGTGTACAGAATGAAAAGAACAGTTTTCATTCTGAATGCTGGTAATATTATGTATCTGTAACCTAATCTGGATGGTGGTCACATAGGTATAATCATTTTATAAAAACTGGTCAAGCTTCACATCCACATGTATGTTTATTGCAGCACTATTAACAATAGCAAAGAGTTGGAACCAACCCAAATGCCCATCAATGATAGACTGGATAAAGAAAATGTGGCACATATATACCATGGAATATTATACAGCCATAAAAAAGAATGAGTTCATGTCCTTTGCAGGGACATGGATGAAGCTGGAAACCATCATTCTCAGCAAACTAACACAGGAACAGAAAACCAAACACCACATGTTCTCACTCATAAGTGGGAGTTGAACAATGAGAACACATGGGCAGAGGGAGGGGAACATCACACACTGGGGCGTGTCAGGGGGTGAGGGGCTAGGGGAGGGATAGCATTAGGAGAAATACCTAATGTAGATGACAGGTTGATGGGTGCAGCAAACCACTATGGCACTTAGTATACACCTATGTAACAAACATGCACGTTCTGCACATGTATCCCAGAACTTAAAGTATAAAAAAAAAATTGGTCAAGCTAAAAAAAAAAAAAGAACAGTTTTTCATTGTTTATATGCCAAAGTCACAAACAACAGAAACACCCAACATTTTAGGGAAGGAGGAAAATGACTACCCATAGCAGAAATGACTGGTAAGAAAGGCACATGGAGAACAGCTAGAATGTAAATTCCTTAAGAGAAAACAATTTATCTGTCTTGTTCATCTCTGTATCCCAATCAATACTTGTTGAATAAATCATCTGAGAGCACTGACACGTAAAGCAAAGAAGAAGGGAGTAAAGGGATGACCAAGTTCCAAAAGCAGCAAAGAGATCCAGTAATAATCAAAAAATTTTTATCTGGTTTGACAATAGTCACTGGTGACCTTGGGGTGAAATTTCAGGGGAATGATGGGTCTGAGAGCTAGATACAGAAGGAAACAAAAGGTGAGGAAATGGAGGCAGAGTTCAGAATACTCACTAAAACAGTTTGGATATAAAGAGAAAGAAAGTTATTGGATGACAGCTAAAGTTATAATGGACCACCAAGGAGTTTTTCTTTCTTCGGCAACGGGAAGTGTCAGAGATCTGAGAAACCTGGCCTTGTTTATACACGACTGGAAACAGAAATGACAAATGAAAACAAGGTCTCATAAGTGACAGCATAAAATATCAGAAGCAAACATAAAGAAACTGCTCTGATTAGAGAGACAATTCATCCTCTGAGACAAAAGGAAAAGGGTATAAATCTTGATGACTTTAAAAGGGAAAGCAGAGGCAGAAATGTGAGGGAAAGCACATCTCATGACCCTAATTTTCTCCATAAAATAAAAGGTAACAAACAGGCCGGGTGCGGTGGCTCACGCCTGTAATCCCAGCACTTTGGGAGGCCGAGGCAGGCAGATTACGAGGTCAGGAGATCAAGACCATCCTGGCTAACACGGTGAAACCCCGTCTCTACTAAAAAATACAAAAAATTAGCCGGGCGTGGTGGTAGACGCCTGTAGTCCTGAGCCAGGAGAATGGCGTGAACCCGGGAGGCGGAGCTTGCAGTGAGCCGAGATCGCGCCACTGCACTCCAGCCTGGGCGACAGAGACTCCGTCTCAAAAAAATATAAAAATAAAAATAAAAGGTAACAAAGAGTAGGTGTCTGGGAGCTTAATGGACAGTCGAAGAAAAACAATATAGAACAGTGGCGAAGATCAAGGTCTCTGAAGTTGGACTGCCTGAATTCAAACATTGGTTCTACCACCTACTCGCTGTGTGACTTGAGGCAAGTTATTTAACCTCTCCAAGCCTTCATTCCCTCAAGTGTCAAGCGGTATTAACAATTGCTCTACACCATGGGGTTGTCACAAGAGCTAAAGGACAAAGTATGTAAAGCTCAGTGTCTGATAAAAAGCATTCAACACTATTATCACTCTTGTTAATAGCGAAGGTAGGGCAAGCAGGAGCTGTGGACATATAAAAAGATCATTTGAAAGCAATAACTGCGGCTGGGCACAGTGGCTCACGCCTGTAATCCCAACACTTTGGGAGGCCGAGGGGGGCGAATCACCTGAGGTCAGGAGTTTGAGACCAGCCTGGCCAACATGGTGAAACCCCATCTCTACTAAAAATACAAAAAATTAGCCAGGCGTCGTGGCACACGCCTGTAATCCCAGCTCCTTGGGAGGCTGAGGCAGAGATAGCTTGAACCCGGGAGACGGAGGTTGCAGTGAGGCGAGATCACGCCGTTGCTCTCCAGCCTGGGTAACAGAGTGAGACTCTGTCTCAAAAAAAAAAAAAAAAAAAAAAGAAAAGAAAAGAAAAAGAAAAAAAGAAAGTAATAACTGTGTAACTAAGAAGAACGAGCACAAATCTGTATTGTCTCACATATGAACAATCCCCAAAAGTTCCAAACCTAGATCACAGCAATTCCAAATAGAAATTTTATCCCTGCTTTGTTAAGCCACTATCACTGGTATGTATGGGGAAAGGCTTTTTTTTTTTTTCTTTTTTTTTTTTTTTTTGAGACGGAGTTTCGCTCTTGGCATGCCCAGGCTGGAGTGCAATGGCGCGATCTCAGCTCACCACAAACTCCGCCTCCCGGGTTCAAGAACGTCTCCTGCCTCACCCTCCCGAGTAGCTGGGATTACAGGCATGCGCCACCACACCTGGCTAGTTTTGTATTTTTAGTAGAGACGGGGTTTCTCCATGTCGGTCAGGCTGGTCTGGAACTCCCGACCTCAGGTGATCCGCCCGCCTCGGCCTCCCAAAGTGCTGGGATTACAGGCATGAGCCACCCCGCCCGGCCAAGGACTGCTTCTTCTGGCATTCCCTACAAGGCCTGTTGAGGATGCTGCTAAGGTCCCTCAAGTGCCTTTCACGAAGCATTTCTGGCGGAAACGCTGCCCTTCCCGACAAGCTGGGCCGCCTCCTTGGTTGGACAGGGCCCATTCTCTAATATTTTTTCGGCTTGTGTTGCGACCAAGGTACATACAGGTGTCGGGAGCACACGTGAACAAACGCAAAGTGGGTCGAAGACCAACGCGAGCGCCCGCTGAAACAGCCCAAGGTAGTAACAGGGGAGGACGGAGAAAGCAGCCGTGAGAGCAGCGCATGAAAGCAGCGTCATTCAAGGCACATCACTCAAGGGTAGGAGCAGCCTCGGCCGAACGCTCACCCGCGGCATTGAGCCCAGCCAGCAGAAGAGATAGGCTGACGACCGCCTTACCTCCAGAAGTCGGAGACGGACAAATTCACGTTACTCATCTGTGCCTCACCGCTTCCGGCGCTGCGGGATGACGTCAGAGGCCGGCTGTATCGCGACCAGTGACGTCACCAGCACCTCTCTAACGGATTGGCTGAAAGAATCTTGCCCACTTCCCAGATCAAAAAGCGTCCGCCCCAATTGGGTTCTCTCTGGGCCGTGGTCCAACTGAGGATCCTGGAAGTTATGCCTGTGGGGACCAGCTCTCTCAGCATCTCTCTGCCTGAGGGCCACTCGCCTGTCACTGCCTCACAGTCTCTGAATTGGGTGACATTTCAGACCCAATCCCTCTGTGGACGTTTCTAGGTGGCTGTGCAGCTTCTCGATACTCCATAAGGAGACGTTCACAACCTTTAAGGCCATCTCTCCTGCTGCAGACAACCTGCTGTAGCACTGCTACTTGCTTTTTAAACTACAGTCCGCTTTCTCCTTTGTGCAGGGAGGAAAGAATGGAGCGGTAAGAGGCAGGGAAACCTGTTTTTTGTAGTGCTGTGTACACTAAATGAACTGAGGGGCAATCCGGGAGAAAAAAAGCAAGATGCAGGGATAAGATGCGTGTACTGATTTTTTACAGCAATTCCAGAAAGTTCCCTAAGAATCATATTGCAGTTATTCAAAGGCATTTTGGCAGAAGGAACAATCCCTATCTCGGAGGTAAAAGTATAGTTTATAATTTTTCTCAAGTACAACACACTGGCAAAAATTCTTTGGTTGAATTAGGTTTCTGAATTTTCTGCTAGGCCCATCTGTGCACTTCCCTGTAAAATCCAGTTTTAGCACAGACCCTGGCTAAGTCAGTTTACCAAGAACCACCACCACCACCCCGCCTTATGTGGTTATTCTCAATATCTGATCAGGTTCCTTATTCTCCACTATCCCCCAGATGATGTCTGATTACCTTGGCCTGTCTCCAGCAAGAATCCTGTTAGGTATATTTAGCCAGAAACTCCTTTACCCCGATGTTTCCTCTTAGTAATTTTCCATCCACTGACCCCTACACAGCTCCTTGGCCATAAATGCCCACTTGCCCATGCTGCTGTTTGGAGTTGAGCCTAATCTCTCTTCCACTGCAAAACCCCGTTGCAGTGAGCTCTATATACCTATCATGAAGTTCCTGAATAAAGTCTTCCTTACCATGCTTCAGCAAGTATCATTGAATAATCTTTTCTTTAACAAAATTGAGATTTAAGGAGTCACATTCTTCATCAAGGTGGAGTATTGTTTCCTTCCATGGAAAAGCAGAGACTTAATGGTATGATGAAGCTATCAGAGCCTTCAAGACAGAAGGTGGGAGGATCTTCCAAGAAACACAGAGGACAGGCTTGCTTTTGTTAGCAGAGAAGATGCAGGTTTATATTAGGGTCATATAAGGAAGTGGGAAAACACAAGCAGCATCTCAGCAGCCACACAGGCCTTACAGCTGAGGAATGTTGTTCACAACTGCCCAAGATAAAAAGAGGCAACTCTGGTGACCTGACCAGTTTTGTTGTTCCCTCAATTAAGCATCCCTCTCGGTTAAGGGTGCTTCTTTGACCTGCCTTTGTGTGTCTTGCATCCAAAAGTTGGATTGGATCATTCTAATTACATCATTCACTATATAATGTGCAAAATTGGGCAGAGTTTCCACGTCCTGCTTGTTAGGCCTAGTCCATTGTCTATAGTGTATTAGTGGCCAGAAAAGCAAGATCACATGGCACAATGTATAGCTAAAGGTATGGCAGGCAGTGAAGACTTTCAGGCACTTCATATTGCCATGCTAATCACCAGAACTTTTTCATCTTGAAAAACTGAAACTCGGCCAGGCACGGTGGCTCACACCTGTAATCCCAGCACTTTGGGAGGCCAACGCAGGTGGATTACCTGAGGTCAGGAGTTCAAGACCAGCCTGGCGTGGCGGAACTCGCCTGTAGTCCCAGCTACTTGGGAGGCTGAAGCAGAAGAATTGCTTGAACCCGGGAGGTAGAGGTTGCAGTGAGCCAAGATCACTCCACTGCACTCCAGCCTGGGCGATAGAGCAAGACTCTGCCTCAAAAAAAAAACTCCGTATCGATTAAATAGCTCCCTATTTTCCCTCCCCCACCTGGCAACCACCATTCTACTTACAGTTTTCATGAGTCTGACCACTCTAGGTACCTCATGTAAGTAAAATCAGACAGTATTTGCCCATTTGCGACTGGCTTATTTCACTTAATATAATGTCCTCAAGTTTCATCCACATTGTATCATGTGTAAAAAGTTCCTTTTTAAAGCTGAATAACACTCCATTGCATGTACACACCATACTTTATCCATTCATCCACCCGTGGATATTCCACCATTTGGCTATTGTGAATAATGCTGCTATGAACATGAGTGTATAAATATCTCTTTGAGATCCTGTTTTCACAATTTGCAATTGCAAGAACATGGAACCAACCTAAATGCCCATGAACTGATGAATGCATAAAGAAAATGTCGTACATATACACCACAGAATACTACTCAGCCATAAAGAAGAATGAAATAATGTCTTTTGAAGCAACTTGAATGGAACTGGAGGCCATTTTTCTAAGTGAAGTAACTCAGGAATGGAAAACCAAATACCACATGTTCTCACTTATAATTGGCAGCTAAGCTTTGGGTATGTAAAGGCATACAGAGTGGTATAATGTTCATTGGAGATTCAGAAGTGGAGAGAGTGGGAGGAAGATGAGAGATTTTAAAAAACTACATATTGGGTGTAACTATTACTCGGGTGATAGGTACACTAAAATTTCAGACTTCACCATTATACACTTCATCCATGAAACCAAAAACCATTTGTACCCCTAAAGCCACTGAAATTTGTTTTTAATGTGAAACAATTTTTAAAAATTCTTCTTTCAATTATTTTGAATATATACACAGAAGTGAAACTGCTGGATTATATGGTAATTCCATTTTTAATATTTTGAGGAACTGTCACACTGTTTTCCATAGCAGCTGGATGATTTTACATTTCTACCAATAGTGTACAAGAGTTCCAATTTCTCCACATTCTTGCCAACCCTTTTTTTTTTTTTTTTTTTTGAGATGGAGTCTCGCTCTGTCACCCAGGCTGGAGTGCAGTGGTGCAATCTCGGCTCCCTGCAACCTCCACCTCGCGGCTTAAGGCGATTCTCCTGCCTCAGCCTCCTGAGTAGCTGGGACTACAGGTGCCTGCCACCACACCCGGGTAATTTTTGTATTTTTTTTTTTTTTAGAAGAGATGGGGTTTCACCATATTGGCCAGGCTGATCTCAAACTCCTGACCTTGTGATCCACCCACCTCGGCCTCCCAAAGTGCTGGGATTACAGGTGTGAGCCACTGCGCCCGGCCGCTTGTTACTTTTTTTTGATAGCAGCCATCCTAATGGGTGTGAAATGGTATCTCATTGTGGTTTTGCTTTGTATTTCCCTAATGATTAGTGATGTTGATCTTTTCATAAGCTTCCTGTCTATTTGTATGTATTTGGAGAAATGTCTATTCAAGTACTTCATTTTTTAATGGGGTTATTTTTGTTTTGTTTTGTTGTAGGAGTTCTTTATATATTCTGGATATTGACCTCTGATCAAATATAAGATTCCCATTTCATAGGGTGCTTTTCACTCTGCTTGCTGGCTGTATCCCTGGATGCACAAAACTTAATTGTGAAGTACTTTAATTTACCTATTTTTACTTTTGCTGCCTGTCTTTTGGTGTTATATCCAAGAAAACATTGCCAAATCTGTCATGAAACTTTTCCCTTATGTTTTCTAAGAGTTTTATAGTTTTAGGTCTTATGTTTAGGTCTTTGATCCATTTTTGAGGTGTGGTTTTATTTTTTTGTTTTTTGTTTTTGTTTTTGTTTTTGTGAGACAGAGTCTTGCTCTGTTGCCCAGGCTGGAGTGCAGTGATGCAATCACAGCTTACTGCAGCCTTGACCACCCAGACTCAAACAATCCTCCCACCTCAGCCTCCCAAGTAGCTGGGACTACAAGCATGTCCCACCAAGCCTGGCTAATTTTTTTTTTAATAGAGACAGAGGTCTTGCTATGTTGCCCAGGCTGATCTTGAACTCCTGGGCTCAAGCAATCCTCCTGCCTCAGCCTCCCAAAGTGCTGACATTACAGGTGTGAGACACTGTGCCTGGCCTTGAGTTCATTTTCTGTACTATGTAAGGTAAGGCTCCAACTTCAATTTTTTGCATGTGGATACCCAGATTTTAACAATATCATTTGTTGAAAAGACTGCCCTTTCCTCACTGAATGGTATTGACATACTTACTGAATATCATTTAATCATTTATGCAAGGATTTACTTCTGGGATTTCTATTGTATTCCATCAGTCTGTATGTCTGTCTTTACACTAGTACTGCACTGTTTTGATTACTATAGCTTTGTAATACTTTTTGAAATCAGGAAGTATAAGAACTTTATTCTTTTTTTTTTCAAGATTGTTTTTGGCTACTCTGCTCAGGGTTTTGTTGTTTGTTTGTTTGTTTGTTTGTTTTAATTCCAACAGTTAGAAATGAGATCTCACATGAAAACCTGGATTCTGGCTGGGCTCAGTGGCTCATGTGTGTAATCCCAGCATTTGGGAAGATGAGTCAGGAGGATTGCTTGAGGCCAGGAGTTCAAGATCAGCCCAGCCAACATAGCAAGACCCTCTCTCTATAAAAAAAATTTTAATAAAAAGAATTTTTTTTAAAAATCAGGATTCCTGATCTCTTGGGGGAAAAATCAATAAATCTAGCCAAGTCTAACAACAAATAGCTAGAATTGTGAATAGCTGCCATGTGCTCTCCAGTTTGCCACTGTTTCCACCCACTCACTTATATAACCTGTCTGGCCCCCTGAAAGCCCTTCTTTCTTTAAGATTTTGAGACTCCTGCTCTAAGGGAAAAGCAGTTGGAGGCAGAGTACCTACCTGATCTAAGGGAAAAGCAGGTGAAGCCAGAGGCTGTGGTTGCCTGGTCCAGAGACTTGCTCAGAAGGAAAAATATGAAATTCTGAGAGAGAGTATAGCTGGGACACCTCATTTTGTTTTGGCATTTGGGGAAAGCTGTATTAGTCAGAGTTCTCCAGAGAAACAGTAGAGAGGGAGAGGGTTGTGAGGGCGTCAAGAAAGACCTATCTGGCCGGGTGCGGTGGCTCACACCTGTAATCCCAACACTTTGGGAGGCCGAGGCAGGCGAATCACGAGGTCAGGAGATCGAGACCATCCTGGCTAACATGGTGAAACCCCGTCTCTACTAAAAATACAAAAAATTAGCCGGGCAAGGTGGCGGGTGCCTGTAGTCCCAGCTACTTGGGAGGCTGAGGCAGGAGAAAGGTGTGAACCCAGGAGGCGGAGCTTGCAGTAAGCCTAGATTGCGCCACTACACTCTAGCCTGGGCGACAGAGCAAGACTCTGTCTCAAAAAAAAAAAAAAAAAAAAAAAAGAAAGAAAGAAAGAAAGAAAGGCCTATCTGAGGAAAGGACAATTAGACTGAGTCCAGAAAGACAGAAAGGAAACAAACACATGAAGACTTGATGGAAAAATATTCTAGGTCTGTGATCCAAACTGAGGAAAGAGCATGTACAAAGGCCCAATAGCAGGGCTTTTAGATTATTCTTTTAGAGTTGCTAGAAGTCCAGTGGAGGTGAAAATCCAATGGAGTTAGTGAAAGGAAGATAAGGAGGCCTGAGCAAGGACAATAGTAAACCATTTAAGAACTGTATGTGGATTCATCATTCATTGAAAAACCCCTGAAGAGTTAGTTAGGAAGTGACATATTTGATGTTCATTTTATGAAGGTCATTGTGGCTGCTGTGAGCAAGAATGGACTAGTGGGGAAGGCAAAAGCAGAAAAGTGGAAAGCAGTTAGCAGTTTACTGATGCAGTGCAAAGGACGTTGGCAGCCTGAACGAAGGGACAGAAGTTCACTGACTCAAGGGATATTTGGGGGCAGCATCAACTGGACAAGACAAAACATACTCTTTTCTATAGGCAGTCCTAGGTCTGATGCCAAATCATAAAAGTTATTTAGTGGTGATAGAATGAAAATCTAGCGAAACATAAATTTAGCTGCATGTTTCATATATCCAAAAACTTCTTACTGCAAGAACTGCGACATTGCCTTCTCTGACCATATACAGGTCTAAAGTGAGGGGATTTATGCTACTAAGTGTAATGAAAACGATATTAAAAAAAAAAAGTAGGTAAACATGTTTTCTCACCCCTAGGGTGAAACAACTTTGATGTGTGTACTACACTGTCTCCCCAACGCTCCCCACCAAGACTGAGCCCAGGCTGCCCAGAGGGGTACTCTGCCTATCAACCCGTCCTCTGCTGGTTTCCTTCCCATCCCTGTCTCACTTCTTCACTCCCCTGCTGGTAATTCTTGAGATCATCTCCAAAGTACCAGCATTCCAAATCCTTGTGACACTGTCTGCTCTGGGGGAATCCAACCTAATGCACTCCTCCTATTTTCTAGTATCATTTTATTTACTTTTTAGATAAGTTAACCTCCTACTGCTTCCCAACTTCGTTATGTCATGGCACAAAGATAAAATTCTAATATTTGCAGAACACATGGGGGTAAATCTGAGGGGAGGCCTATGAGGAGCTTGGTGAAAAAAATTTCCTTATTTTTTCTTTATAATTATATATAATAATATAAATAAACAACAAAGTATTGGGGAAAATAACATTGATTTTGGCTACATATCCAAGTAAAATATTTTTAGATTTTTTTTGATGAGGAAATTGAGCATATTTCTGTAAATATAACCTTTATGATATTAAGGTTTCATGATAAAATAGCTATACAATTTCTGACTAAGATTTTTTTTTTAAATTAGAGACAGGGTCTCACTGTGTTACCCAGGCTGGTCTCAAACTGTTGGCCTCAAGCAGTCCTCCAAACTCGGCCTCCCAAAGTGCTGGAATTACAGGTGTGAACCACCACACACAGCTTCTGATTAAGATTTTTTTTTTTTTTTTTTGAGATGGAGTCTCACTCTGTCACCCAGGCTGGAGTGCAGTGGCACGATCTTGGCTCACTGCAACCTCCACCTCCCTGGTTCAAGCAATTCTCCTGCCTCAGCCTCCCCAGTAGCTGGGATTACAGGCATGTGCCACCATGCCCGGCTAATTTTTGTATTTTTAGTAGAGATGGGGTTTTGCCATGTTGGCAAGGCTGGTATCGAACTCCTGACCTCAGGTGACCCACCCGCCTCTACCTCCCAAAGTGCTGGGATTACAGACGTGCGCCACCGCGTTGGCCTGATTGATTTTTTAATGATAATCTTTTCAAATTCTTGGTAATCATACCTGTAATTGGGACACCAGTTGAGCAGTTCTGTTCTATACATTACAGTGTAAACATGATGAGGTATTCATAAAAACTACACCCTGTAAATTCACTTTAAAATCTTCCAACTATAATTTACCCTCTATTATTTTCAACTCCTGCTTTTAGGACTGGTTAACTTCTCCCACTATGTGCTGATTTCTTGAATCTTATTAACTCTTAACTCTTTCAAGGATCTAATTTTTAAGAGTTTAGGAGATGATTACTGTAATCCCAAGCACTGACATTCATATCATTGGTGGTTTGTGGAAAATTTTATTTCAATTCAGCAATGCTGATCTGTGTAAATCACAGATCTTATAGTGGTCTATCCTGAAATTTCTTATAAACATTAAGAAGAAAGGCACAGGAATGCCTTCTAACTTACTTAACCTGCCTTGCCTTCCACCACCTCTTTAGTCCCAGCCTTGTACCAGCAATATTGAACTTCCTACCCTTTCCCCCACCCCAATACATCAGTATATTGAGTTCCTTGATGTTCGTGCTATTCTTTCTGGAATGTTATTCTTTCTTTTCTCCCTAATTCACTCTTGTCCCCTCCAATCCAATCACACTGCAACTAGAGAAAATATTTCACATGCCTGTAATCCCAGCATTTTAGGAGGCCGAGGCAGGAAGACTGCTTGAGACCAGAAGTTTGAGACCAGGCTGGGCAACAAAGTGAGACCCTCTCTCTATAAAAAATAAATAACTTAGCCGGGCACGGTGGTATGTGCCCGTGATCCCAGCTACTTGAGAGACTGAGGAAAGAGGACTGCTTGAGCCCAGAAGTCCAAGGCTGCAGTAAACCATGATTATGCCACTGCACTCCAGCCCTCCAGCCCAGGTAACAGGGCGATACTCTGTCTCTAAAAAAAATAATAATAAAGAAAAGAAAAGGGAAAAAAAATTCAAAACACAAACAAACCTGATCATGTCATTCCCCTGCTTAAATCCTTTACCAATGCTCATCAAATTAAGAATAAACTCCCTTGTTTGGTCAGTTTTACAGAAGTTCTTGTCCATCTCTCTAATCTCATCTACCACTCTCTCCTCGCCTATTTGCCCAAACACAGGGCCTTTCCTTCAATTTCTTGAACCCATTCAGTCAAGAGTCCTGGGTTGAAACTTAGAAAACTTCTCTGGCTACTTTAAAGACTGATGGGGCTGCCTTCTGCACCATCTCCAAACCATAAGAACCTTACGGTATCTGGGCCCTCAATCTCACAATCACAGACAGGCAATAGTAGTTCCCAGAACAGGAGGGCCTGGGCTCTTGGCACCGTCAGACCAGCTCCTCTTACTAGTCAACTGGGAGAGACATGGCTATAGGAGCCCACACGGATACCCACATCCCACAGTCTCAGGGTCTTGGCCTCCAGTCAGATGAAACCAAAGCAACTCTAGCTCTCCATTGGCTGGCGCATTCATTCATTCATTCAACTCTGAGCAACTTCTACATGTCAGGAATCACTCTAGGAGCTGGGGCTACCACAGTGAACAAAACAAAGTTCCTGCGTTCGCCAGGCGTGGTGGCTCACACCTGTAATCCCAGCACTTTGGGAGGCTGAGGCGGGTGGATCACTTGAGGTCAGAAGTTCAAGACCAGCCTGGTCAACATGGTGAAACCCCGTCCCTACTAAATATACAAAAATTAGCCAGGCTGGTGGCAGGCGCCTGTAACCCCAGCTACTCAGGAGGCTGAGGCAGGAGAATCGCTTGAACCCGGGAGGCAGAGGTTGCAGTGAGCCAAGATCATGCCATTGCACTCCAGCCTGGGCAACAAGAGTGAAACCTCGTTCCAAAAAAAAAAAAAAGTTCCTGCTTTCAAGGATCTTACAGTCTAAATGGGTGAGGCAGATCATAAGAAAAGAAAGATACAGGTCATGTGAGGATAAATGCTATAAAGAAAAAACAAGTGGGATATAGAAAGTGGTGAGGATGGCCGGGCGTGGTGACTAACGCCTGTAATCCCAACACGTTGGGAGGCCAAGGCAGGTGGATTGCCTGAGCTCAGGAGTTTGAGACCAGCCTGGCCAACATAGTGAAACCCCATCTTTACTAAAAAGTACAAAAATTAACAGAGCGTGGTGGTGCACGCCTGTAATCCCAGTTACTTGGGAAGCTGAGGCATGAAAATTGCTTGAACCTGAGAGGCAGAGGTTGTAGTGAGCTGAGATCGTGCCACTGCACTACAGCCTGCGTGACAGAGTGAGACTCCGTCTCAAAAAAAAGAAAAAAAAAAGTGGTGAGGATGTCTTGGTAGTGTGGGAGGCCTCTCTTGAGCACAGACCTGAAAGAAGAAAAAAGTCATGTGGATATCTGGGTGAAATGAGAAACCATTAAAGGATTTTAATCAGTGGAGCACCATATTTTTTTTTTTTGTTTTGAGATGGAGTCTTGCTCTGTCACCCAGGCTAGAGTGCAGTGGCACGATCTTGGCTCACTGCAACCTCCGCCTCCCAGGTTCAAGGAATTCTCCTGCCTCAGCCTCCCGAGTAGCTGGGATTACAGGCGCCTGCCACCACGCCCGGCTAATTTTTTATTTTTAGTAGAGACGGGGTTTCACCATCTTGGCCAGGCTGGTCTCGAACTCCTGACCTTGTGATCCACCCGCCTCGGCCTCCCAAAGTGCTGGGATTACAGGCATGAGCCACCGCGCCCGCCCGAAGTGCCATATTTTTTAAAAGGTTACTCTAATTATTTTATGGCACCAGAATCTTAAAGAGAGGGAATGGTTTCCAATTCTGCGTTTCTTTAAATGTATCCATTCATCAAACACTTAAGAGTGCCTTCTCTGTGTCACGCAGTGGGGTCCATGTTGAGTCAACAAGCCAGACACAGCCCTTCCCCTTAAGGAGCTTTCAGTCTACTGAGGACAGCTGCAGGACACGCTCACCTTTCACAGCCTCAGTGCTGAGCCCACTCTCCTGAACCTGCAGTCTCCTTACTGCTAGTCTTTCCAATATTGCATTGCTGCTCTTTCTCCCACTTGTCTTTCTTACTGCACTTCAGACTGGACGTCCAGTGGCATTTTCCTGAGCATGGTTTGGTCCCTCTTGACAACAAATTTGAATGTCTACACATTTACACCATTCAGACAACCCCGAGACACTCCTACTTTGTCATTCTTTTCACAAGCAAAGCTCCAGCTGTCTATGTGAAAATAATACTATTTCAACAACTGTCTTCACCATACGTTTAACCACAGTAAAACTTCTGCTTTCATAGAATAATATTGCTCCTAAATTATGAGGCCTGTAACAAAAATTTTAACCACCCTCCAAAGGGCTTTGATTCACAAGAGACCTTACTTTTCACCTGTATGACTTCTTGGATATTTTAGAGAGAGAGGATATAGCATACATGATTAAAGAAAAAAAAAGAACGCAAAATTTTTTAGAAAATGTATACTTAGCCTTTCTCTCTGTGGTAGCCAATTACTTTAGTAGACCTAATTGATTCTCCCCTTTCAGAATTCCTACCCTTCCATAGTCCCCTTCCACATTGACTGGACTTGGCTGAGTGACTGGCTTTTGCCAATGGGACACTACCAAGTACAATACAAGCAGAACCTTAATAACTGCTTACACATTGTGGCCTATCCTCTGGGGGTGCTCCTGTTCAAAGGATCCAGCTGCCATGCTGTAAGAAGCCCAACTTAGCCACATGAAGGAGAGGTCCCAGCAGAGCTCCCAGCCAGTAACAGCCAGTATATGAGTGACCCAGCTTGGAAGTGGGTCCTCCAGCCCTAGGGAAGCCACCCTAGCAGTTGCTACACAGAACAGAGATGCACTATCCCTGCTAAGCCCTGCCCCAACTGCGGAATTCTGATTAAATAAATGATTGCTACCTTAAGTCACCAATTTTGAGGGCAGCTTGCTAAACAGCATTAGATAACCAGAACACTCCCTTTTAGAAAAAGGGTGGGGGCACTATTCCTACCACGTTCTGGAAGTCATAAGATTGTCTGAAATCTGGGTCAAGGCTCAACTTCCTAATAGAAGAGTTGCCTTATATACTTGTGTAAATGTTAATGTCTGTGCCCCACTCATTCGTAAGCTCCATGAGAAAAGGGATTGTGTCTGTCACAGTCAACATTGTTTTACTGACCTAGAAAACACCCTGACATATAGTAGGTACTCAATCAATATTTTAGTAAATCAATGTAATGTTGATTTACTAGCTCTACTATTTCCTCTGTTTGAATAGGATAATTTCTATGACCATTACTATTAGCAAACATTTACTAGTGTTTATTTATATGTGGATACTCTTCTGCACACCTTGTACATGTTAACTCATTTACTCTTCACAATAACTCTATGAGCTAGATACTATTATTATCCACTTTTACAGACAAGGAAATTGAGGCACAGAAAAAATAAGTAACTTGTTTGTGGCGGGGCCAGGATTCAGTTTCCAGAATTTGTATTGTTAGCCACTACAATGCCTTTCCCAGTTTCCTGTCCTAGATCTGACAGTGCCATTGCTGTTGAAAAAAAGAAAAAGGTAAAGTTACACAGCAGATGAACAGTTATCTTCATCACAACTTCTTCACGATGAAGACAACATCATGACTAGGCAGGTAGGAAGCTGCTCATGGAGAGCCAGGCGTGGTGGCTCATGCCTGTAATCCCAGCACTTTGGGAGGCCAAGGCGGGCAGATCACAAGGTCAGGAGATCGAGACCATCCTGGCTAACACGGTGAAACCCCATCTCTACTAAAAATACAAAAAAATTAGCCGGGCATGGTGGCAGGTGCCTGTAGTCACAGCTACTCAGGAGGCTGAGACAGAATGGTGTGAACCCGGGAGGCGGAGCTTGCAGTGAGCCGAGATTGCGCCACTGCACTCCAGCCTGGGCGACGGTGCAAGACTCCGTCTAAAAAACAAAACAAAAACAAGACCAAGCTCCTGCTCTAAAATGCCTTTTCAATGTCAATGATAACAGGGAGATGAAAGAAATGACAGGTGGGGGCAACCACCAGGAAGAAAGACTTTTACATCAGGCCTCACCCCTAGGGCTGTAAATCTGGCAGCTAAAAGTAACTGAACTCCAACCTATGCACTCAACCCAACTGCAATATCCCAACAGGAGTGTAAAGAGACCCTAGTCAGTAGCTGCTAATTCAGTGCAGAGTCCCTTTTAATGCTGATACCACTGTGGCTTGTGCCTAGGTCTTCCCAATGCTCAGCACAGAAACTGATGGCAAAGGCCTACTCTGGCACCATTACCAGCCCTGCCTCTGCTCTGAGGGACAACCTGGATGTAGGAGTCTAAGCCAATAGCACTCATAAGGTTACCTGAGGACTGACCTCTCAGTCTGGTAAGTACAGGACTTTCTTGATGAACCACCACTACCACCACCAGCAAGTGTGTATGAACAAACACCCCTGGCCTCACTCCCATATTTGGAGATGTGGGAAATTTAACACAAAAATATCTAAAGGGCAGTTTATTAGAAATCATGGTAGGTGGTAGAAAATGGCAGTTTAACCCAACAGTAGAATAAATATTCCATAGCTGTACCACTTAACAGCTTAACAAAAGGATGCATAGCTGGGGAGCAGCAGGACATCCTTAACAAAAGGATGCATAGCTGGGGAGCAGCAGGACATCCTTAACAAAAGGATGCATAGCTGGGGAGCAGGACATCAGGTTTTGGTAATCAGGGGAGCCGCCCTAAAGGGGGCCCTTAAACTGGGTCTTGTCCGTTAGACATTCACTCAACAAACACTTCTTGACACTTGCTATATGCCAATTACTATACTAGGTGCTGGAGATAAAACATTGCTAAGCCATGATCACCAAGACAGTCCTCCACCCTAGAAGTATTGCTGTAGCTCAGCAAATTGCCCTTTGTTGTGCTGCCATCAGAGGCATCCCTCTACACTGGTCACCCGGTCAGGGATACTGTCAAGGACACTGCTCCTCACATAACACAATGTGCTCTTTATAAGCATCCCTGGGAGACATTCCAATCTGATCTCCATTCTAGGAATAGTTTTACTTCTCCAGAGTACTGGATTGATGTTTTATCTTCAGATACCATGAATTGTGGGACCAATGAGGTTGTCAGTTTAGAGACAAATTCATGGCCCAGCTGTATCAAATGTGAAGGTCATTCTTGTATGCCTTTTAGCTTTGTCTCTGGTTCCATTTTGTTACTACCCGTGTTTTTATTTTTTTCATTCTCCACACTTTTAATGTATGGCATCTTGGGGTATATTGTCTCTGTTTGTTGTATCCTTGGAAGTGGCTGTAAACCCTTCTGGATGAAAGCATTGCCTTCAATGTTTATAATACATTATACACATCTGCACAAATGCTATGATGGAAGTGTGTACACTGCGTGATGTGGGAACACAAATAATAACGCCTTATAAATTATCAAAGGCATTAGAGAAGATCTTGCATAAGGGTCATTGCCTGAGTTGTATTTTTTCTTTTCTTTTTTTGAGACGGAGCCTCACTCTATTGCCCAGGCTGGAGTGCAATGGCGCGATCTCAGCTCACTGAACCTCCACCTCCCGGGTTCAAGTGATTCTCCTGCCTCAGCCTCCCGAGTAGCTGGGATTACAGCCGCACACCATCATGCCCTGCTAATTTTTGTATTTTTAGTAGAGACAGGGTTTCACCATGTTGGCCAGGCTGGCCTTGAACTCCTGATCTCATGATCTGCCTGCCTCAGTCTCCCAAAGTGCTGGGATTACAGGTGTGAGCCACCACGCCCGGCCTGTATTTTCTTTTGTTCTGTGTTTTGCTGAGAATGCCACAATACACCAATCTTAAAACAAGGTTGCTGCCACATGCATGCAAGAAAACTTTTTTTTAATCTTACAGAGTAGATCTTGATGTCATATCATGGGCTTATAGGACACACTGAAGTTGTTTATAACTAATCAAAGCTATTTCCATGAGAGTTTCCCTTCATCAATTTTTTTCTGACAACAAGATTATGGGGCAAAACAATTCATATCCGCATCTGAATTTTTGTGCAGGGAAGGAAATTCAGATGAAATATCAAACTTAAGTTAGAATACATTTGACAAGGTGAGGTGAAGAATTAAAATAATTATCTAGAAGATGTATATACACAAAATGTTATCAACTGAATTTTTTTAAATAAACGTTGCCAAATGGTATCTAGGAGTTCGTATTATCTAGACCAAGAGTCTGAGATTTTGAAGGGCTATTAAAAGTCATTTTGTTCAGTCTCATATCTGTGCAGCAGTATTCTTCCCGAATTCTTTCCACTTTTCAGGTATATTCCCAACCTTGGAGTTTCCCGTGATGGTGTGATTGCCTGTGTGAGAACAGGGTGAGAGAAAGTATTGTTGCTGACACAACATCTGAAGTGTGGTGAACCAGCAGATACTCTCTCAATACACTCAATTTTAGCTTTTTTTCTTAAGCGTTTTAGCCATGTAAAAATTCATTTCAACAAACAGCACACAGAAGATCTCAAGAAATAGGTCAGGATCTCATAAATGAGCAATCCAGTTTACAAAAAAGACAGCAATAAACATGTTTACTGCATATCCTTTCACTCTTCGGTAGTATAAAACATTACAACCATCTTCCTTTAGGTTTAAAAAAATAAAGGAAAGAAAAAGTAAACTGAATGTACCTCACGACTTCTTTCGGCTTTCTACCAGGCTGGAGCTTTAAAGACAACACTATTTTGTCTCTGTATTGAGGAAAATTGTGGACTTTTAACTTAGAGTGACTAAATAGAATGCATTACACTCCCCCCCCCATTTTTTTAGAATTAAAAAAAGCAGAAAAACAAAACTATCTGAAAAGTACTCACTGCTAAGAGGAAAGTCTACTCTGAGCTCAGCAATTAGGCACTCTGATGTTAGAGGAGGGCAGCCCAGGCAGGCAGAAAAATCACCAGACTGTGTAGTGCTGGGCTGGACGTTCTAAGAGGCCAGGAACCATCTCCGCTTTTTCACAACTATATGCCCAGTACCTGGCACAAATTCTGGCAAAATGCATATTCATTCATAATTTATTGAGTACCAACTCTGTACCAGGCAGTGTTCTAGATGCTTGCGATATATTATAAAACAAAACAGACAAAAATCTTTGCCTACAAATAAAACTGTTCCTCTATTCATAATACTTTGAACCAAATGTTGGGGGTGGAGGGGCTTCAAACCAAACAATTCTCTAATTCTCTGCAGATACCAACTGGGTATCCTACAATTTAATTCAGTGTGGACACTAATTATCCAACATTATTGCACATCCCACAGGTTAAGGGCTCAGTCTCACAAGACTACCTCCAATTTAAGATACCAATAGCAAGTCCAGGGTCTCCTGTACTTCTGATAGACTGGCTATGAATCGGGGTGTCTTCATCTATTTGAGCTGCTATAACATGCCATTAACTGGGTAGCTTACAAACACCAGAAACTTATTTCTCATTTGTGTAAGCTGGAAAGTCCAGGATCAAGGTACCAGCTGAATGGGTGTCTGGTGAGGGCCTGTTTCCTGGTTTGTAGACAGAGCTGTCCTCACATGGCAGAAGGGACTCACAAGCTCTCCTGGGTTTCTTTTGTAAGGGCACTAATCCCATGACGTAGTCACTTCCCAAAGGCCCCATCTCTGAATACCATCAACTTGGGGATTTCCAATTTATGAATTCTGATAGGACACAAACATTCAGACCACAGCACAGAGGTTCTCACAACCGCCTTAGAGTCAATAATTTGCTAGAACAGCTCACAGAACTTAGAAATAATTCTTACATTTCTCAGTTTGGGGAAGGGATACGGACCTTCAAGGCCCTCTCCGGGAGCTCAATCCTTCCAACACCAACCTGGAAGCTCTCCAAACTCCTTTGGTTAGGGTTTTTTTATTGAGGCTTCATTAGGTAAGCATGATTGATTAGGCCATTGCCCACTGGTAATATCCAGCCCCTTTCTCCTCCCTGGAGGTCATAGTGTGAGGCTGAAAGTTCCAATCCTCTAATCACTTGGTTAGTTGCCCTAGCAACCAGCGCCCCCCCCCCCCTCCCATTTTCGGGCTCTCCAAAAGTCACTTCATTAATATAATCTCAGATGTGATTGAAAGGGGCTTGTTATGAATAACAAGATACCACTTTCACTCTTATCACTTAGGAAATTTCAACGGTTTTAGGACCTCTGGCCAGGAGTCAGAAATGAAAACCAAAATTTTATTTTTTATTTAATTTTTTTTTTTTTGAGACGACTCACTCTGTCACCCAGGCTGGAGCGCGGTGGCACGATCTCAGCTTACTGCAACCTCTGCCTGCTGGGTTCAAGTGATTCTCCTGCCTCAGCCTCCCGAGTAGCTGGGACTACAGGCACGTGCCACTACACCTTGGATAATGTTTGTATTTTTAGTAGAGATGAGGTTTCACCATCTCTACTACGATGGAAGGCCGAGGTGGGCGGATCACCTGAGGTCAGGATTTTGAGACCAGCCTGGCCAACATGGTGAAACCCCGTCTCTACTAAAAATACAAAAATTAGCCAGACGTGGTGGCAGGTACCTGTAATCCCAGCTACTCGGGAGGCTGAGGCAAGAGAATCGCTTGAACCCAGGAGGCGGAGGTTGCAGTGAGCCGAGATTGTGCCATTGCACTCCAGCCTGGGGGACAAGAGCAAGACTTCGTCTCAGAAAAAAAAAAAAAAAAAAGACTGTACTTCCCCAGGTACTGTGGCTTATGCAGTAATCCCAGCACTTTGGCAGGCCGAGGCAGGTGGATCACGAGGTCAGGAGTTCAAGACCAGCCTGGCCAACATAGTGAAACCCCATCTCTACTAAAAATACAAAAAATTAGCCAGGCGTGGTGGCAGGCACCTGTAATCCCAGCTACTGGGGAGGCTGAGGCAGGAGAATTGCTGGAACCTGGGAGGCGGAGGTTGCAGTGACCCAACATCACGCCATTGCGCTCCAGCCCAGGCAACAGTGCGAGACTCCATCTCAAAAAGAAAGATATGTACTCCTCAAAACTGTCAAGGTCCTTAAAAATAAGTAAAGTCTGAGAAACTGTCACAGTCAAGATGAGACTAAAGAGATATGATAACTCAAAGTAATGTGGTGTCCTTGGTGGGATCCTGGAACAGAAAAGGGAAAAATTAAAGAAACCCAAATAAAGAACGAACTTTAGTTAATAATAATGTATCAACGTTGATTCATTAGTTGTGGGAACTGTACCATTTTAATGTAAATTTTAACAATAGGTTAAGACTGAGTGCGGAATAACAGGAACTCTACTATCCTGACAACTTTTCCGCAAATCTAAAACTATTCTTAAATATAAAGTTCAGTTTAAAAAAATGAAGGGTGGTGAGTGGGGGTAGGAATGAAGGAGAGAGTTCATAAAAAAGACTGAAATTGTACGTAGTCAGAAGAGAAGAACCACAACAAATTGGTGCTACTCAAAAAATAAATAAATAAATAAAAGTCTGGCCCCAGTTAATTAAAAACTAAATATTCTAAGAAATTTAAATTAATTTATACAAACATAAAAAATAGCATTTCAGTTAGGATTTACTTTCCACTTTGTGCCGATAAAAATTTTTCTTTTTTCTTTTTAATAGTAGCTCAGTTTTATTTTCTGTGGTAACAAACATTTAAGAACCAGAGAAAACAAGGGACCCCTGAGCACACAAAGGCAGTACAGGCCGACCATGAGGCCCTCCCGGGAAAGTAGCAACTGTGGGAATTCCCTGCCCTAGGGAGGATGGATGCACTGCCTAGGAGGAGACGCAAGGTTAGACCTCGCCCCATTTTCCCAGGCCAGGCTTAGCGGGAAACTGGGGGCCCAAAGTGCTGCAGGGTCCGCACCACCAGAGAAAGATGGTCGAGAAAGTTGATAAGGGAAATTCGGAGCAGGCAACAGTCTTCAGCTTTCCAGCGGACGGCCAGGATCCTGCCGCTCACTGTGAGATCCTTCCCAACCACCCTTTGGTGGGGTTCGGCATCTGGAGCCAGGGACCCATGGGCAATTTCCACCTCTAAGGGGGTCGGGAAAGGCACGCTGAGGGTGAATATGTGCGGCCGCATTCCTGGCCCTTGGCCACAGACGCTGCGTTTCTGCTAGGACCTGACACGTGCGGTGGGGGAGCTCCGCTGGCCGGAGCTGCCGGGGTGTCCGCGCCCCCGGGGCAGCTGTGATCACCCTAGCCATCCCCGCAGTTGGCGCCTCCGCCTGCGTCTGCATCCACGTCCCACATAACCGCCCTGGCTCCGACTCCTTTTCTTTGTAAACTAAAGAAAAAAGTATAGCTGTAGTTGTACTCATTCAAACCTGGACTCACCTTTTCCTTCACCCAATTTTGCTCCTACCCTGGCTTCTTCCTCCTTCTGGGCTCCCTACCCCAGGAAGGGGATCTCCAACCATCCTGTTGCTAAAGCCAGAAAGCTGGAAGTCATTCCTCCTCCCTACCTCTGCATCAAGTCATCATGACTCTACCTGAAGACTTTACATGTTTTTATATTTGTGTTTATTTTTCTCCCTCTCCATTTCTTCTATTTAGGCCTCATCATTTCTGATCTCATCGCTCACCATAAAAACCTGCTAAGAATCCAACCTTCGCATTAGCACCCAAGTGATTATTGTGAAATTTAAATGTAATCAAATCAGCTCTAAAACAAGGGTTACTGTGAGGATAACAATATGGCAACGTTTGTAGAGTGTTTAGCGCAGTGCCTGGCAGGTCCTCACAAAAGAAAGAACAGATGAGGAAAGAGAAAAGAAACAAAAAGTCAGCTGTCACAGGTTATATCACCCCATCCCTAAAATCCTCCAGTGTCTCTCAAGAGCCTTCAAAACAAAATTCAAACTTTTTAGCATAATGCCCAAGCCCTTATTACTTTGCTCCTGCCAGGCCTCCAGCCATCTCCAGCTACCTCTATGAACACTTACGGCCATGTGGTTATTGAGTTATTGGCCAGGCGTGGTGGCTCACGCCTGTAATCCCAGCACTTTGGGAGGCCGAGGCGGGCAGATCACCTGAGGTTGGGAGTTCAAGACAGCCTGGCCAACATGGAGAAACCCTGTCTCTACTAAAAAATACAAAATTAGCCAGGCGTGGTGGAACATGCCTGTAATCCCAGCTACTTGGGAAGCTGAGGCAGGAGAATCGCTTGAACCTGGGAGGCGGAGGCTGCAGTGAGCCGAGATGGCTCCATTGCACTCCAGCCTGGGCAAAAAGAGAGAAACTCTGTCTCAAAAAAAAAAAAAAAGAAAGTATGAAATATCCCACTGAAATAAAATATAATGGTAAGAAAAGAGGCCATCCATGACAGCAACAACAAAAAATGCCTAGTAACACATTTAAGAAGAAATGATGAAGACCTAGTTTAAAAAATGAAGAAAATAAATATACAGTTATATGTTCATGAGTAGGAAGATTCGACATTTTAAATGTGTTAATTCTCTCCAAACTGATATATAAAATCACTGTAATCACAATAAAACTCACAATGGGATTTGGGGGGAATCTGCCAGAAATATTCCTAAGTTCCTCTGGAAGAATAAACATATTAAAAAAAATACAAGGAATATTCTAAAAAGCAAGAACAATGAAGGGAAGTAGTACCATGTATTTCAGTGGAAATTAAGTATACATTAAAAGTGGTGGCCAGGTGTGGTGGCTCACGCCTATAATACCAGCACTTTGGGACACCAAGGCAGGACAACTGCTTGAGCCCAGGAGTTCAAGAACAGCCTGGGCAACATAGGAAGACCCTATCTCTGCACATACAAAAAAAAGGTTGGGGGGCGGATTTCACATTAGTCAGGAAAAATAAGATTAGTGTTAGACAAACTAGTTTGCCATTTGGAGAAAAATAAAGATCAGTTACTTACAAATAATCCTCAGTCCTTACACCAAAATAACTTTCAGATGGAATAAAAAATTTAAGTTTAAAATGGAACAATGATTCCAGATGCAGTGGCAGGTGTCTGTAGTCCCAAGTACTGAAGAGGCTGAGGCAGGAGAATCACTTGAGCCTAGGAGTTCGAGGCCAGCCTGGGCAACACATCAAGGCTGTTAATTTAAAAAAAAAAAAAAAAAAGGGAAACAATGAAAGTACTAGACCTAACCTGTAAACCTGGGACAACAGATTTATATTTATAATGCTGGACTGATGAAGGGGAAGGTGGAGAGAAGAAAAAGGCCAAAAAGGAAGAGTCACAATTTATCTACATAAAAATTAAAATCTTTATATGGCCGAAAAATATATATATAGATACTAAGTAAAAAGCGAAGAATATACTAAAGAAAACAATTGTAACACATGACAGACTAATATCTACCCCTAAAAGGGCTATTATTAAAATAGTGGAATTACACCACAGAAAAATGGTAAAATAATATGAACAGTTGACAGGAGAGTCAGTAAACATTTAAAACATGGTTAAACTTACTAACAAAGAAACTCGAAACAATAAGATATCACTTTTTATCTCCAAGCTTAGCAAAGATTTAACAACAAAAGGCCCTCATATTGGCAAGGCCCACTCACACACTGCTGGAAGCAGTTACAAACCAGTATGGAAACTTATTTATTACAATTTTAAATCTACATTCATGTTGACTCAGCAATTTCAATTCTAGCTGTCCATCCAACAGAAATACTTGCATGAGTACTCAAAGCTGTATTTGCTAATTTCTCTGCAGCAGTTTGTAAAACACTGGAAATTGCTGAAATATTCATCAGTAGGGGAATAAATTACGGTGCCTACATACTACGCCATTAAAAATAACAAGGCAGATTAGTTATTTATCCTGGCATAGTAAGATGACAAAGTGAAAAGGGCAAGCTGTAAACAGCTTGTATAATGATCCCATTTCTGTACAAACGAAGACCACATACAAAGTTATTGCCAGTTTTTTTATTTTATTTTACGTAAGAATGCTTCTTAAAAGTGTTAACTTTTTTGTTAGTTTCGTTTTTAGACAGGGTATTGCTCTGTCGTCCAGGCTGAGGTTCAGTGGTGCAATCACCACTCACTGCAGCCTTGACCTCCCAGGTCCATCCTCCTGCCTCAGCCTCCCAAGTAGCTGGGAGTACAGGCCCACACCACCACACTAACTCTAATTTTTGTAGAAACGAGGTCTTATTATGTTGCTCAGGCTGGTCTCAAACTCCGGGACTCAAGGGATCCGCCTGCCTTGGCCTCCCAAAGTGCTGGGATTACAGGCTTGAGCCACCATGCACCCCCTACTCTTCCTTTATTAGCATTTAACACTCAACTGTTTGTTTCTGGTTCCCTATGTTGTGAGCTCCTTGAAGGCAGGGACCACGACTTATGTGATTTTTTTTTTTTTCTGAGACTCGACAGAGTCTTGCTCTGTCAACCAGGCTGGAGTATAGCGGCACCATCTCTGCTCACTGCAACCTCCGCCTCCCAGGTTCAAGCGATTCTCCTGCCACAGCCTCCTGAGAAGGTGGGACTACAGGCACGTGCCACCATACCTGGCTAATTGTTTCTATTTTTAGTAGAGAAGGGTTTCACCAAGTTGGCCAGGCTGGTCTAGAACTCCGGATCTCAGGTGATCCGCCACCTTGGCCTCCCAAAGTGCTGGGATTACAGGTGTGAGGCACGGCGCCCGGCCTGACTTACGTGATTTTTGTATTACAAAGCCCTAGTACACTGCCTGGTAATATTAGACGTTTATTAACGGTTGGTTTAAACAAAAAACTTTATACCAGAGGTGATACTTGAGAAGGCAACACCTAAGATTGAAAAAAATCAGGTGTCTGTCAGCCAATGCAAAAGCATACAAAGGTGAAAAGGCGTATATGGGAAACTGCGGATAGTTCTGTGACTGGAATGCACAGTTAAAATTAATGAAAGAGAAAAGGCTGAAGAGGCAGCATGAGGATGCTTCCAAGGATAAAGTTCAAAATTCTTAGCGTAGCATATATACCAACAGACAAAGGCATGCCCTAACTAGCTTTGAAGCCTCACCTCCGGCTATTCTAGCTCCCTTAGCTATGGCTATATCCAATTAGTTGCAATTTCCTAAAAACATCATATTCTTCCACACCTTAGTATAGCCTTCCCCTGTGCTTTGTCCACTGCTCTCCTCCCATTTTCAAAACTCAGCTCAATTGCCACTTTCCCAAAGAAATTCTCTCTGATCTATCAGGTTAATATAGGAGGCTCTCCCCTACTGACTTCTACCTCATGGTTTCTCTGGCAGTCTGTTGACTTGTTTGGCTTCTCACTAAAGTCTAACTGGGGCTTTTCAACTCTGCATCTCCAGTTCTGTTTTTGTTTTAAATCGAGACGGGGTTTCACCATGTTGCTTGGGCTGGTATCAAACTTCTGAGCTCACGCAATCAGCCCACGCTGGCGTCCCAAAGTGCTGGGATTACACACGTGAGCCACCGAGCGTGGCAAACTCCATCTTTCTTGGTGCTAGATACTGACATACCTGCTGTGTCCCTGGATAAAGAAGCGGACCCCAATTCCCATTAAGCCCCCGTGGTACCATTTTCAAGTCCGAGGTCTTACGTTGCAGATTGTACATCCAGGTTCCCTGACCCGTAGGATTTAAAAGTGAGGTCAAATAATTAAACAAATTGTTTTAGTCAGACACTCTTGCGGCTACTCTGTAGCCAAACTGGGTGAAAACCTGACCAGAGGAGTCCACGGCCCTCTGTACATCAAAGACGGTCCAAACGTCTCACTGTTTAGCTCAGTCCCAGACACACTGAGCTCAATCTGCACGAATCAGCGAGGTCCAGGGCAGATAACATGTGTCTAGGGGCCTGGACTTGCACAAAAAGCCTTAACAACTTCACAATTTGATTAATTATGCCGCCTTGGACCACGCGTGAAAAACAGCAAGACCCAAGGCCTATGCTATTGGTCTGGGGACTAGACCCACCTGGCTCAAGCATTTTTTGCTCGCCACGTTCCCAAAAAGAGAAGAGGCGCCCGTAAGAGGGGGGGGGGGGGGGGCAAGACTGTTCCAAGAGCTTTCCCGTTCACACACAGCTCCCGCTGGGTCACTGTACTCGAGCCCTTCCCGCCCTCGCGGGCCCAGGCGGCCACCCCACAGGTTTGGGAACCCTAGGACTTGCAGTGCTCCTGGGCCATGCCCCACCAGCCGGAGACTTCCGCACTCTCAGGCTCGCTGAGTGGAGAAAAGGGCTCCAGAAGATTCCACGAGCGCCGGGAAGCCGCGCTAGCACCAACACCCACAAGGCCTTTCGGCGCAGCTCCTCCCGACCCGTGCGCCCCCGCGCCGTTGCCCAGGTAACGGCGGGGCGGTGGCAGCGGCCGAGAAGGGCGGGACTTCCGGCGGGTGACGCGCCCGGGTTCGGCTACAAAAGAGGACGGCTGCGGCGCGCCGGGCGGAACTTTCCAGAACGCTCGGTGAGAGGCGGAGGAGCGGTAACTACCCCGGCTGCGCACAGCTCGGCGCTCCTTCCCGCTCCCTCACACACCGGCCTCAGCCCGCACCGGTGAGTTTGAGCCCTCGCGCTGCCCCTAGTCCCCTGGCTGGCGCCATTGGCGCCGGGAAACCGATGGAGCCGCGGTCGGGAGGCAGTTGGCCGCGTGGGTAGGACCGCTGTCAGTTCCTGGGCCCACGATTTCCCTTTTGGAGGGCTGGTGTGGTGCCCTGGCAACCCATCCCCGGCACGCACAGTGAATGGGCCCGAGACCTTTCCTAGACCTCCCTCCTTCCCCAGCCTGGGATCTCCAAGGAGCTACTGTCTTCGGCTGCCCCTCCGTGCGCGCCCCCGCGGCCCCCCTCCCCGTCCGTGCTCGCTCGGGGTGGGGGGGGGGAGTGGGGTTGGCGACCCTGCGCACGCGCACAGGGAGGCAGGGGCGAGGGGCTGCGGGGGGAGCCGGGCGGAGACTGCGGCTTTTGGTTTCGCTTTCTCTGTTTCCCCTCCCTTTGTTTGTTGAGGGCTGGGCTTTCCCCACCGCCACTTGGGTCCAGGGTGGGAGGGAGAAAGGAAGGAAATCGGTCAGCGCCAAGTGCAAGGGGAAACCTGGCAGGTAAACTCTGCCAGCCTGAGGGGCGAGAGGGATTCGGCTGGAGAAGCTGTAAGCCGTGGGCGGTGGAGGGCTTGCTGTGTGGAGCCAGTAACCTGTTCTATAAACCACTCCCCCCCACCACTGTGTGCCCAGACGTCTTTTTCTGGAGAGTATATGGAGTTTATCAGATTTGCCAAAGACAGTGATAGTGTAATGACCGGTAGACTGAACATATCAGTGCTTCTTTTGGTTACAACTGTCACCGCCTCTAGGGCAAACGGGAAGAATCCAGATAATAGTTGTGTTATATTAGTATGGAAGCTTTGGTGTAGGAAAATTGGAACCAGCTGCTAGAAGGCGGCTCTCAGATTATTTCCCGATAATGATTATTTGTTTTGTCTGTTCGAGTTTATAGCTGAATTATCGCAGGAATTGTTACCTTTTTGGTGAAATTTAGGGAAGGTGGTGTTCTTATAATCGGATTTTGCAAAGAGATTGCTCGGCCTTAGCTCTCTTTTTTATTAAAAGCTACCAGTTGAAAGCCGGTTAAAGTTGCATTTTCTTATTTCAGGCAGTAGAAGATGGTGAAAGAAACAACTTACTACGATGTTTTGGGGGTCAAACCCAATGCTACTCAGGAAGAATTGAAAAAGGCTTATAGGAAACTGGCTTTGAAGTACCATCCTGATAAGAACCCAAATGAAGGAGAGAAGGTGAATAGTATCTACTCTTAAACGTATCTGAATAGTTCTTTGCCAGACGTATAGTATTTCTATTATGGCCTGAAATCGAGTATCTAATATAGTAACTATGATCACTTCTCGGCCTTTTTAGCTAAGATCAAGTGTAATGTAGCTAGGTAACACTTGTTTTTTAAAAAATGAAATTCACTCCTCTTTTCTCAAACAGTTTAAACAGATTTCTCAAGCTTACGAAGTTCTCTCTGATGCAAAGAAAAGGGAATTATATGACAAAGGAGGAGAACAGGCAATTAAAGAGGGTGGAGCAGGTGGCGGTTTTGGCTCCCCCATGGACATCTTTGATATGTTTTTTGGAGGAGGAGGAAGGATGCAGAGAGAAAGGAGAGGTAAGAAGAATCTAGTCTTTGTGCAGCTAACTAAAGTTAGCTGTTGGTCAGAGCAGATCTTTGAGAAATCACCCATTTTAAATGCTTGTTTACATGTTGGTATAATGTTGCAAACTGACCACAAATTGCCTCTGATTTATGGTGTCGTGTTTTTTTGTTGTGGTTTTTTTTTTTTTTTTCTTGAGACGGAGTTTCCCTCTTATTGCCCAGGCTGGAGAGCCATGGCGTGGTCTCAGCTCACAGCAACCTCCACCTCCCGGGTTCAAGCGATTCTCCTGCCTCAGCCTCCCAAGTAGCTGGGATTACAGGCATGTGCCACCAAACCCGGCTAATTTTGTATTTTTAGTAGAGATGGGGTTTCACCATGTTGGTCACGCTGGTCTTGAACTGCAAACCTCAGGTGGTGATCCACCTGCCTTGGCCTCCCAGAGTGCTGGGATTACAGGTGTGAGCCACCATGCCCAGCCAGTGGTGTCGCTTTTTTTAAAATGAGATTTAAGGGGCCTAAAAAATAGCCAACAGAGTGGTAGCAAATGACTGCTTCCAAAAATCTTAGATATTATCAAACAAATTATGAGAACAGGCCGCGTGCTGTGGCTCATTCTGTAATCCCAGCACTTTGGGAGGCCGAGGTGGGTGGATCACTGAGGTCAGGGTTCGAGACCAGCCTGGCCAAGATGGTGAAACCCCATCTCTACAAAACTACAGAATTAGCTGGGCGTGGTGGTGGGCATCTGCAATCCCAGCTCCTCTGGAGGCTGAGGCAGGAGAATCGCTTGAACCCTGGAGGCAGAGGTTGCAGCGAACGGAGGTCACGCCACTGCACTCCAGCCTGGGCAACAAGAGTGAATCTCTGTCACAAAAAACCCAAAAAAATCCAAAAATTAGCCAGGCATGGTGGTGCGTGCCTGTAATCCCAGTTACTCAGGAGGGCTGAAGCAGGAGAGTCGCTTGAACCCGGGAGGTGGAGGTTGCAGTGAGCTGAGATCGCCCAATTACACTCCAGCCTGAGCAACACAGCGAGACTCTTGTCTCAAAAAAAAAAAAAAAAAAAAAAAAAGACAAAGTATATAGCAATATAATTTTCCAAGCCCTTTTTACAGATCTTATTTGGTGTTCCCTCACTCCCCAAAGGAATTTGATGGTAGGTACAGTGGCCTTTTTCAAATGGGAGTAAGTTAAAGTTCAGAAACCTAAAACTTCTTCAAGCTCATATAGCAAGCCAACAGAGCCAGGGCTGAAAACTGGTTCGTTGCCTGCCATCTATCTATTCTTGTTTCAGCTTTATTGTGTCAAAATTATGTATTTAATATGTTTATCAGGAAAGTGGCCTATGGGCTCTAGAAATACTGCTTATAGGAGTAAAATGTTCAAGAGAAATCAGTCTCACTTTATTTCCAGTATAGTGTATACAAATAAGGGCTGATGAGCAGAACCAGTTTTAGAATGAATGGCCAAGCCATTAAATTTCACTTTGAGCTTCTTAAGGTTCAGAAAGATTTGGGAAATTGTTTATTCAGTTTTTCTTTAAAGATCTTCAAGGAAAGGATTATGTTTTTATTAAGATACTTAAACTCCTTAAAAAGAAAGTCCACAATCCAAATGACTTGCTTAGTAAATTGTTAGAATTTGTCCACAAAAAAGTAGTGGTGGTTTTTCACTTACCTTACAAAGAACCTGCAGGTTAACATTGGCAAGCTCTTTTATGTGGCTTATGATCATATTGAGAGGTTATTTCTGGGGAAATGCGCTTCATCAAGCTCTAGAAGCTTTATTTTTCCTTCCTTATACTCAACACTGTTCAAAATAAGGGCAGCTAGATTTTAGCGTGCCAAAACTAAAGGTGGAACTATAAGCAGAAGGACATAATTAATGGTATTTCATGCTTGATTAGAAAGTTAAAATGTTCATTAGGCATATTGTACAGAAACGAGTTTGAGAACTTTTTTCAGTTGGTGGAAAGGCAATAATATTGTTGTGAATAAGTCCTTGTGGAAGGACCACTAGTTAGGAACTTACTAACTTACTAGCAGGTGACTTCATACTTCTAACCTCAGTGTCCTTATGAGATCTTGACCTTCCATTTCCTATTCTGATTTAAGTGAAGTAAGGCACTCCTTAGTAGCCACTGGCCATGTGTGGCTCCATTAATTTAAGACAAAAACAAAAATACGGTTTCTTAGTCTAAATGGCCACATTTACATGCTCAATAAGCACATGTGATTGGTGGCTGCTACGTTGGACAGAACAGATATAAAACATTTATCACTGCAGAAAGTTCTGTTGGGCAATGCTATTATAAAAGGTATGAGAAATTTGGCCTTCAAAACAACCAGTGCTGGCCCAGCAGTAAATGGGCTGTTTTCTACTAAATCAGGAAGAAGTAGAAATTGATACTCTTCTGTGGTGACTCAATAAATACATCAGCTTCCCTGGCCAATCTTGATTAATGAGAATTTACTGTGCTACAGAATTTTTGGATGAAGTAATTGGCCATGTTGCTCAATACGGTACGAAGTGAAAGCTTCAAAAAATATATTGTGACAGAAATGAATGTTTGGATTATTGTGAAATGTGCCCTTTTAAATAACATTGGTTTTTCTCAAGTGACTTTGAAGGTAATGCTTTTGCTTACCATATTTCCAAGATGGCCACGTCTGTGCCCTTAAGCAAATATTTAATCTCTGACCTGATTTTCCCTCATCTGTGATTACATCACAGTTTGAGGATCATCTGTGATAACGTGAACATTCTGTGTATATAGTAGGTAGTCAACAGATGTACCCTGTGAGGCTCATCTTTTATTATTCTTTGCCACATTCTTTATAGTGCCTTTAGCACAAATAAGATCCAGCATCTTAAACAGATTTGCAATGAGAAATATTTTGTTTTAGGTAAAAATGTTGTACATCAGCTCTCAGTAACCCTAGAAGACTTATATAATGGTGCAACAAGAAAACTGGCTCTGCAAAAGAATGTGATTTGTGACAAATGTGAAGGTACGGTGTTTTTTTGTTTTGTTTTGTTTTGTTTTTAAGCACCTTTAATATGACACCTGAAAATGGAGCTAAGACTTCTAGATAGATATGTAAAATTGATTCATGTACACTACCTAGATTTTGGGGGAGGAGAGGGCAGATATGAAGAAAACCAACTGAAAACCTCCCACCTAAAGAAATATCAGCACTTTTTTCTGTGTATATTTTAAATACAGTTGGGATCAAGCTAGTTTGGTATCTTTTTTGTAATAAGTAAAATTTATTGGAAAGTGTGTTCTAATAAGAATGAAACTCATTGGAATGATCTCATCAGTTGTACATTCAGAGGGTAGCATTCCATCAGGCTTCGAAAATATTAAAAGTATAGCATTTAGGAATTGTCTTCTTAAAACATTTACTACTGTATACACTACTAATTCATACATTATTTAATTTTCTTTTTAAATTTAGGTAGAGGAGGTAAGAAAGGAGCAGTAGAGTGCTGTCCCAATTGCCGAGGTACTGGAATGCAAATAAGAATTCATCAGATAGGACCTGGAATGGTTCAGCAAATTCAGTCTGTGTGCATGGAGTGCCAGGGCCATGGGGAGCGGATCAGTCCTAAAGATAGATGTAAAAGCTGCAACGGAAGGAAGATAGTTCGAGAGAAGAAAATTTTAGAAGTTCATATTGACAAAGGTGAGTTCTGAGTTACTTATTCTGAAGTCTTGAATGCTGTGGCAGATTTATTATTAACATTTTATAATTGTTTAAAAATCATTCTTAATTAGGTTATATATGATCCTATCAATCAGAAATAACTCTTAGCAGCTTAGTAAATAATGTTCTTTTATCCAGACATAATTTTGCACATTGGTATATTACTAATACAGAATATATTAGGAATCTCCTCATTTAATATAACAGGATCATCTTTTGAAATCTGTGGTCCTGTAAATGATTGAATAGTGTTCCAAACTTAATTCTCTCCTGTTAAACCATAGTTCTTCCATCTTTTAAAACATTAGAATTGTACACATTCTTAATTAGGAGTTACTAGATCAAGGGATAGGCATACTTTTAAGGATTTGAAAGGGGAGTTAGGTGAAGAATTGGGTCTCATAAAAATTCATGGTTTTTTTGGAGACGGAGTTTCGCTCTTGTTTCCCAGGCTGGAGTGTGCAATGGCACGATCTCAGCTCATTGCAACCTCTGCCTCCCGGGTTCAAGCAGTTCTTCTGCCTCAGCCTCCCAAGTACCTGGGATTACAGGCACCCAGCACCATGCCCGGCTAATGTTTTGTATTTTTAGTAGAGACGGGGTTTCACCATGTTGGCCAGGCTGATCTCGAACACTTGACCTCAGGTGATGACCTGCCTCGGCCTCCCAAAGTGCTGGGATTACAGGCATGAGCTACCGCACCCCGCCTCATGTTTATTTTTTAAACCAATGGGCATGTTTTTGTTTGTTTGTTTTTTTCTGAGGTAGAGTCTTGCTCTGTTGCCCAGGCTTGAGTGCAGTGATGCGATCTTGGCTCACTCTAACCTCTGCCTCCTGGGTTCAAGCGATTCTCCTGCCCCAGCTTCCCAGGTAGCTGGGACTACAGGTGTGCACCACCACACCTGGCTAATTTTTTTTGTATTTTTAGTAGAGATGGGGTTTCACCATGTTAGGCTGGTCTCAAACTCTTGACCTCAAATGATCTGCCTGCCTTGGCCTCCTAAAATGCTGGGATTACAGGTGTGTGCCACCATACCTGGCCTGGGCTAGTTTAAATAAGCGTATTGGCCCACTTAATTGGCTTACTTGCCCATCTATTATATTTAAATGCTCCGTTAATTGATTTGATAGACTACCTTTCATTTTTTTAGACTTGACACTTCCCTAACCCATTGGGCTCCAGATTTAGAAATAACTATATAACCTTTTTTTTGTATTCTCGGGATTTGATTGATTTGTCAATTTTTAAATTTTACTCTTGTCAACTTGCAAAAACATTTTAAAATGTATTACAGCAATACACTGCAGAAATTTTAAGAAATGTATATAACCCCAGAAGGAAACTTAAGTCAACATTATGGTAATCTCTTTTCAGATTTTGCTGTTTATAAATGGGTCTACTATTATACTGTACTGTGGTATGATACCAATCTGGAACTGTTAATATTTGAACATATTTCCATATTAATATACAAATCTACATTAACATAAGTGGCTGCAATAGGATTCTATCATGTGACTCATGATACTGGCCTCTCTGACCCCCAGGGTTCCACCCAAGAATGTAGTACATTGAAAGGTAAAAATAAGTTTCCTTGGCCAGTTGTTGAACTTAATAAATCTGTGTTTACCCCTTAGTGGGCCCATGCCTAAGGTTTATACTTTGAGGTGTTCTTGATACCAATAGCATACAGAGTAAGTCTTAACGTTGTTGATAGGTTCTTGGAAACTGGGACTTCTAGCAGAATGACCTCAAATAATGTCATGCAGGTCCTCAAATAATGTCATGTCACTGTAACACAGCTGAGGGGAAAAAAATTGGTCTTGTTATGTGTCATTTCATTTAAAGCAATTTCCAAGAACCTATCAACAATGGACTGTAAGTGAGAACTTGAAATTAATGCCCTAACTATATAGCAAGTGAAGGCATTTGTGCTGTGCCTACTCTTACTCTGTATTCAGGAAAACCTAGCTGAGTTTAATTGCTTCCCTAGCATAACAAGTTATTTTGCCTCAATACACGATTAAAGACAGATTGTTTAATTTTGTCAGTGTATGATACTGATAGCGCTTTAAGTCCTTATTTAAGAGGTACGTACTGAAGTATTTGTGGGTTAATGGATATAGTTGGAGTTTGCTTGAAAGTATATGTGGGGGGCATGCGTAGGGGTGTAATACATGAAATATTAGTCATGAGTTAGTAACTGCTGAAGCCAAATTGGATGGATATGTAGGAATTCATTGTACTGTTGGCTCTGTTTATACAGGATTAATATTTTCCATACGTAAAGGTGAAACATGATTGCTCTGTTAGGTAACCAGAGTGATCTTGGGAAATAATCAGGAGATAACTGCTTTGGTGTAATACTCTACAAACACAGGTTTTCTTACATGAGTTATGTTCTAAGAGACGTTGCCCAAACCCTTACTGAACTAAAATATGTGGGTCAGAGGTGAGGGGCACGAAGTCTCAGTTTAAAAAAAAAAAAAAAGGCGTGTTTTTTTGCCCTGTTAGAAAATACTCCTCCCCTTGTATTTTACGGACCACATGGGCTAAGGGAGTGTCTAGCACTGATTGTTTTGTTTGCTTGTTTAATTTAAATGAGACAAGGTCTGGAACTCCTGTGCTCCAGGGTGCTATCCTCAGGGTATCCTCCTGACTCGGCCTCTCAAAGTATAATTACCCTTTTTTTAAGGGGACTATACTGAATAGTTCTTTAAAATACGGATTTTCAGGCACAGGGGCTCAGGTCTGTAATCCGAACACTATAGGATGCCGAGGCAGGATCCCTTGAGCCCAGTAGTTCAAGACCAGCCTGAGCGACATGAGAACCCCCATCTCTATTAAAAAAAAAAAAATTCAAAAATTAGCTGGTCTGTGGTCCTGGCTACTCGGGAGGCTGAGGTGGGAGGATCACTTGAGCCCAGGAGATGGAGGCTGCAGTGAGCCATGTTTGTGCCACTGCACTCCAGCCTAGGCAACAGAGCAAGATCCTATCTCAAGAGAAGATTATAGATTTAAAATTTTTTTAGTTTTATATATAAATACTACAATAGAAGGGTCTTGATTTACATTGCTGTTAGACTTTTAATAGAAGTAATTTGATGTGTTATAAGTAATGAAACTGAAATACTTAATTAACATTTTTTGGTTATAACCAGTGTTAGCCAGTCATGGTTTAGTACCAGCATATACCTGTTGAGTTAATACTCTAAATATTGCTAATGAGGTGTAGGTGTCTGTGGGAAAGTTGAAACTTGGAAAGGATATGCAGCTTACTTCCCCAGGGTAATCCAGCCAGTGAATAGCAGCTCTGAGATTTGAAGGCTAGTCTCTTTGCCTCTGGAGTTTGTGTTCTCCACTATGATACCTTTCTTCAGGAGCAAATTGGACTGAACTACTTAAGTGGGCTTTCTTAGTCATTTCTGTGATTTTTATGCATAAACAAACATCTATGTATAGATTTTATGATTCTGACCTTAGTTGGATATTTAATAAAAGTACAAAATTAATGTTTTGTTTTTAGGCATGAAAGATGGCCAGAAGATAACATTCCATGGTGAAGGAGACCAAGAACCAGGACTGGAGCCAGGCGATATTATCATTGTGTTAGATCAGAAGGACCATGCTGTTTTTACTCGGTAAAGACTTTTATCAACCACTCAAATTGATATCACATATTTGGGTTGTTGGTTTTGTTTTTTGTTTTTTTGTTTTTTTTAAAGTGTTTTCCATTACTCTTAGAACCTATTTCTCAGGAAGATTGTTAACCATTGTTCAGATCATAAGAGGTTGAATACATAGGATCAGATTTTTAGCTTTTTGTCTCTAAGTATGGAACGTTGAAAATGTGTTTCAATTAGATGTTTTGTGTGAACCTAAGCAGCAGATGGGTGGGGAAAACATCCCTGGACAAAAATTTGCCCTCAATCTTTGTAAAGCAATTTAAGTGCCTTAAAGCTCTCACCAGTTTTCAATCTCATTTATGATAAATTGAATTGCTTTTAATTATAAATATCCAAAAGCATCTCTGTAGGAAACTTAAATTGTAACTCAATACTAAGTATAAATTCAGGTCTACCATTTTGAGCTAAATAATGAGTATGATGAACACTGAAGCACAAGAAAGATGGATGATTAACAGCAAATGTTTGTGATCCATGGCTAACATAACACCCTCTGTGCATGCTATATTCCCAGCAACTTGGGAGGCTGAGGTGGGAGGATCACTTGAGGCCAGGAGTCCTAGCTACTGGGGAGGCTGAGGCAGAAGAGTGGCTTGAACTCAGGAGTTCAAGGTTATGATCATGCCACTGCATTCTAGCCTGGGTGACAGTAAGAACCCACCTTTTTTTTTTTTTTTTTTTAATGGAGTGGAGGTGAAATTGGGAACATCTTAAACTAGTTTAGGATTAATTAATATTTCAGCTTGGTTTGGTGGCTTACGCCTGTAATCCCAACACTTTAGGAGGCCGAGGTGGATGGTCAGGAGTTCAAGACCAGCCTAGCCAACATGGTGAAATGCCATCTCTGTTAAAAATTAAAAAATTAGCCAGGCATGGTGGCAGGCCCTGAGGCAGGAGAATCACTTGAACACAGGAGGCAGAGGTCGCGGTGAGTTGAGATGGCGCCATTGCACTCCAGCCTGGGCAAAAAGAGCAAAACTTGGTCTCAAAAAAAAAGACTAATATTTTACAAATGTCTGAAGATAATGGGAAATGTTGTCAAGCTCAGGCTTTTGATGCTGTCATTTGAGAAGGGTATTAAAGATGTTTTATTTATTTATTTATTTTTTTTGAGATGCAGTTTCGCTCAACAGGCCCAGGCTGGATTGCGATGGTGAGATCTTGGCTCACTGCAACCTCCAACTCCCAGGTTCAAGCAATTCTCTCACCTCAGCCTCCCGAGTAGCTGGGATTACAGGCGCCCACCACCACGCCCAGCTGATTTTTGTATTTTTAGTAGAGACGGGTTTCACCATGTTGGCCAGGCTGGTATCGAACTCCTGACCTTAGGCAATCCACCTGCCTCGGCCTCCCAAAGTGCTGGGATTACAGGCATGAGCCACCGCGCCCAGCCTAAAGATGTTTTATTAATGTGGGTTGGAAAAGGAAAGTCTAAGCATGAGAAGGAGGAAGTGGGCTGTTAACGTTAAATATGAAAGGCTGTGTTCACTCACAATATGCCAGGAAATATTATTTCAGGTTCATCAATGAGGAAATTGTTAGAGTCCCTTTAAATTGGACATATCCTCATTGTTTAATTTCATAGAGCCTAAATTATCTAGGACCCTGCCCAGGCTAGAGTGCAGTGGCACGATCTCAACTCACTGCAATCTCTGCCTCCAGATTCAAGTGATTCTCCTGCCTCAGCCTCCCGAGTAGCTGGAACTACAGGTGCGCGCCACCATGCCTGGCTGATTTTTTGTATTTTTAGTAGAGATGGGGTTTCACCATGTTGGCCAGGCTGGTCTTGAACTTCAGACCTTAGGTGATCCACCCTCCTCAGCCTCCCAAACTGCTGGAATTACAGATGCGAACCACAGTGCCTGGCCTAACCCTCACTCTTGTGAGTTGTTTTTTTTTTTTCCCCTCTGAGAAACCAGATTTAAAACTAGGTAATGAAACAGTTCACTGATGGTAAATGGTAAAGGCTGCCTAGAGTGTGTGGAATGACTTTGAATCCTTAACTAGGAAACGGGGCTGGCAGGTTGCACATGTTTGCTCTTCCCAGATCTCTGCTCTGCTTGATTTTTACAATGGGGGAAGAAAAGGGTGTCTTTGTAAAAGACCCTTTGCTTTTATTAAACAAAAAAACAGCCTGCTTTGGTACATCTACTGATTCGTGATTTGAAAAATATAAATATGTGTCATATTTTATGCAGACGAGGAGAAGACCTTTTCATGTGTATGGACATACAGCTCGTTGAAGCACTGTGTGGCTTCCAGAAGCCAATATCTACTCTTGACAACCGAACCATCGTCATCACCTCTCATCCAGGTATGGGAACTAGGCAAGCTTAAACTTCTCTTTTCTATTCTAGTATTTTCCTTGTCTCCTGTTAACAAAGTGTAGTATAGGCACTGAGGGAAACCCATTGTTTTTCTTTCTCGGTTACATATCCTTCTCTGGGCTTAGATGAAGTTATAAGGTCTTGGCTCTCTTGTCAGCCCTTGGAAAACCCATAAGTGAAAGGTAACAGGATTGCTTTGCCACGTAAGTTTTACTCCTGCCAATGAGCTAGGACAGTGCTCTGTTCTTTATATTCCCTGCCTCATAAAAATGTGACCATACTTAAGGAAGAACTTGGCTTCAATGTTTTTAGGTCAGATTGTCAAGCATGGAGATATCAAGTGTGTACTAAATGAAGGCATGCCAATTTATCGTAGACCATATGAAAAGGGTCGCCTAATCATCGAATTTAAGGTAAGCTGTAATGTACTTTAAGAATACTTGAGAACAATTGGCTTACTAAAATCTGATAAAAAAGTAAAATTTCAGCCAGGTGCAAGTAGCTCATGCCTGTAATCCCCGCATTTTGAGAGGCTGAGGCAGGAGGATCCCTTGAGCCCTGGAGTTTTGAGAACAGCCTGGGCAACATAGTGAAACCCTGTCTCTTTAAAAAAACAAAAAAAAAAAAAAATTAAAATTTCTGAATGCCTCAGAACCTGAAACTTACATTTTTCCACAGCAAGAAATATATGGATCTGGCCACGTGCCACTGGCACACACCTATAATCCCAGTGCTTTGGGAGGCCAAGACAGGTGGATTGCTTGAGCTCAGGAGTTAAAGGCCAGCCTGGGCAACATGGCAAAACCCCATCTCTACAAAAAGTACAAAAATTAGCCAGGCATGGTGGCACACACCTGTAGTCCCAGCTACTCGGGAGGCTGAGGTGGGAGGATTGCTTGAGCCTAGGTGGTCAAGGCTGCAGTGAATCAAGATCGTGTCACTGTACTTCAACCTGGGTGACAGAATGAGACCCTGTCTCAAAAAAAGAAAAAAGAAAATTTACCTAATAACTACTTCTGTCATGTTGAGCATTCTTTGTTAACAAGTTGAGGATGGGGTTTTTTGCATCATTAATTGGATATTTAAAGATAGGTTGTGGGAAGGGTGTGTGGGACAAGTGGGTATTTTACTAATGAAAGGTTGTAACTGGCATCTTAAAGTTGAGAGGTGCTTTATAATAATTGCAGATTTCTTGGCAAAATAGTGTAATGCTTGATTTGTTAATAGGTATAAAGCAATCCAGTCATTTTCCTGAGTCTTAAATTGGCCTGTCACCATAAAAATATTAATTAAAACTTTTTTTTTTTTTTTTCCTTTTTGAGACGGGAGTCTTGTTCTGTCACCCAAGGTGGAGTGCAGTGGTGCGATCCTGGATCACTGTAACCTCCACCTCCTGGGTTCAAGCAGTTCTCCTGCCTCAGCCTCCTGAGTAGCTGGGAATACAGGTGCCCGCCACCACGCTGGGCTTTTTAGTAGAGATGGGGTTTCACCATATTGGCCAGGCTGGTCTCAAACTCTTGACCTCAGGTGATCTGCCCATCTCAGCTTCCCAAAGTGTTGGGATTTGTAATCCCAATTGTATGAGCCACCGCGCCTGGCCTAAAAACATCTTTGGTAAGGAAGAACTACCCTTTTGAGAGTAAGAATAGCTTTGTTTAAATATGTCGTAAGAAGGGTTAGGCTGTTGCAGGATGGGTTTTGGTATTAAAAAGTCAGTTTGCTGGATAGAACAATGGTTGTTAAAGTGCAGTTTTATTTAATACAATCATTTTTAATAAAGCCTGACTTCTGGTCATAATCCTTGAACTCTAGTTCAGAGTGTGCTATGCACTGTGCCTTTTTAGAGCCTGTTCTAACCTGAGATTGGCAGATTCACCTAAATATTACGTGTTTACATGTGTTTTTCTGGGGAAAATGGGTCCATGATACTCTAAGGGAGCTAATGATGAAATCAGATTGAACAGTGAAAGTTTCTTTTGAAGGTAAACTTTCCTGAGAATGGCTTTCTCTCTCCTGATAAACTGTCTTTGCTGGAAAAACTCCTACCCGAGAGGAAGGAAGTGGAAGAGACTGATGAGATGGACCAAGTAGAACTGGTGGACTTTGATCCAAATCAGGAAAGACGGCGCCACTACAATGGAGAAGCATATGAGGATGATGAACATCATCCCAGAGGTGGTGTTCAGTGTCAGACCTCTTAATGGGCCAGTGAATAACACTCACTGCTGGCATTTAATGTGCAGTAGTGAATGAGTGAAGGACTGTAATCATAATATGCTCACTACTTGCTCTTGTTTTTGTTTTAATAAACTATAGTAGTGTTTTAAAAAGTTAAATGAAGAATAAACGCAAATATAAAAGCTCTGATTTTGCCCTGTATGTATGATGACTTCAGTGTGCAAGATGAAGTTTAATACCTGTAAAAACTACAAAGAAGTTCCCCTAGCATTTCTAGGCCAAACCTTGTAATTGACTTCAGCTATGTACGTGGACAAGCTTAGACTGAAATGCTAGGTATATGTATTGGCTTCAGTGTATGACCCTTCATTGTTAAGCTATGAAAGTAAAACTCTGTATTTAACTGGCAATGAGGAAAAAAAAATTTTGTAGAGAAGTGTTGGTCTGTATAGTTCTTTATATTAAGTGGGATTCATTGTAATGCCTCTGCATTTATTCTGTTGCCTCAGCTGTTACTTGAAGATGGCGTAATATATAATTTATCCTGTGGTATCAGTGATAAAAATGATACCTTTCTGTAGGAGGGGTTTATCATAATATGCTGCTTCTTGAAGGCTTGCACTTCCAGAATTGTGTTTCCTTCTGCTGTGCCATTCATATATATATACATATATATATATAATCTTGACCAGTCCTGGTCATTTGCTCCCCTCCTTGTCTGTGGACCATGATAAGCCCAAGTAGTGACTTCAGAGCTGGGTAACAGAAATTAAAGTGAAAAGACCTTTACGTGGAGAATTTGCATGCGTAATATAGGAAGGTGTTCTTTAGGTATGTTACAGGATTACTTTAAACCATTTGACTTTCGCTCCAAAGTTATGTTGGTAGTATAGCAAATTATGATGAATAGCTTTAATTGTATGTTTAAAAGTCTCATATGTTCACATGCTTAAATCTGGGTATCAGAATTTAAGCAATTCTTGAAATGTATTGTCTCCTTAATATACTAATTACAAAGCATCTCCAATGTGTGTCACTACAGGCTTTTTTTTCCCAGATCATCAAATTTTGGCTTTTAACTAAGATACATAGCTTTATTTTAGCTAGTCTGAATGAGTGATACAAAAATACTATTGAACTATAGTTAAATAATATTAAATAGGATGGAGAGTAAAAGTGGAGGACTGGGTAATGAGCCAAGAAGAAGGGGACTTAGAAAACTGCAAACATTGGAGTGAGCATGAGAGAACAAGTTCTCATAAAGAATACAAGTTTAAAAAGGAGAAAAACTTTAAAAAATAAGGTTCCCAAACCATCAGTGTTTGTCAACTTCCTTTTAGTCTGTGCCAGCCACCCACAGCTACCCTAAAGTTGGAGATGTGAAGCAGATGTTCAGGAAAGTATAATTGATCGGTGTTCAAAA